>NC_000023.11:86098905-86401935 GCF_000001405.40 Homo sapiens
AGCTGAATATTTGGAAGATTGTTTTAATATAGCAAGCTATAGAGCTGCAAATCGTTATTTTTGTGGTGACCTGAATCTCTTTACATCATTGTCCTTGAGACATTTATTTTTAGTATCTTCTATGTTCTTAAATAAGGTGCAATAGCTCCAGTAAGTAATCTAAAATGTTGTCATTTATTGACTTTTTGTAATGAAAATAACTAAAATTCCCCCAAATAATTTCTTTTACATGTTTACAGGAAGATATGAAAAGTAAACACTTAAATAGCTTTTTTATTAACATTTAAAGAAAATTAATACTTCTTATTTGACTCAGAATTAAACAAATTCATTATTCTTTTTTTTTTTTTTTTTTTGGAGATGGAGTTTCACTCTTTTTGCCCAGGCTGGAGTGCAATGGCACGATCTTGGCTCACTGCAACCTCTGCCTCCTGGGTTCAAGCAATTTTCCTGCCTCAGCCTCCCTAGTAGCTGGTGTTATAGGTGCCCGCCACCATGCCCAGCTAAGTTTTTGTATTTTTAGTAGAGACAGGGTTTCACTATGTTGGCCAAGCTGGTCTTGAACTCCTGACCTCAGGATCCACCCGCCTCAGCCTCCCAAAGTGTTGGGATTACAGGCATGAGCCACCATGCCCGGCTCCAAATTCATTATTCTTGAAAAATATAGAGAATATAGTAATTGTCAAATTTCTTTTTTAAAATGTGAAATTGATGACAATGACAGTAATTCCTTTTATTTGCTCAGTTTCTATCCAAATGTTAATTTAAGGAATGTAGATAACTTTGGTTTATAAGAGCATTGAACAATGACCAGCAATCCAGTGGAATGCATTTGTTACTTTTACAAGTTTTCTTTTTTTTCTTTCTTTTTTTTTGCAGACAGTGTCTTGCTCTGTTGCCCAGGCTGGAGTGCAGTGACATGATCTCGGCTCACTGCAACTTCTACCTCCTAGGCTCTAGCAATCTTCCCACCTCAGCCTCCTGAGTAGCTGGGACTACAGGTGTGTGCCACCATGCCTAGCTGATTTTTCTAGTCTTTGTAGGACGGGGTTTCATCATGTTGCCCAGGCTGGTCTTGAACTCCTGGACTCAAGCAATCCATATACCTTGGCCTCCCAAAGTGCTGGGATTACAGGTGTCAGCCACCATGCCCAGCCAACTTTTATAAGTTTTCTGATATAAAACATTGCTTAGTTTATCATCCATTTTCTCATCAAAATCATTCCTAACCATGCTGAGCAAAATAGAGGATAGAGCTCTGTGGCACAATACAGAGACTTTATTTGTAGTTGATATTGATCCATTAATTAGTATTCACCCAATATTTCAGCTACTATTCTTCATTTTATCTATAAAAATGTACCTAGAAATGTGGATTTGTGCTAATTCATCTGATTTATAAAAATTCAGATAATCTATGCCTTCAATATTCCTGTTTTTACCACTTGGTAGCTTCCTGTTAATCTTTCTAGAGCTTTTATGTGCACATACAGAATATGCACATATGTGTCTATCTGCCTTCCTTTCTTTTTACACACATAATAGCACACTATGTAAATAATAGCGTGCTATGAAACTGCTTTGCATGTTGCCTTTTCCACAAAATATATCTTGGACTTTATTCTGGAAAATCTAGATCTGCCACATTTTTAAATGGCTTCACAACATTGTGATTGCACAGATGTATCATAAGTTATTTTGTCAGTTTCCTATTGATAGACATTTACATTGTTTCCAGTTGTTTGGTAATGCAAGCAATCTTTAGTACCTATCCTTGTACATACTTCTTGGTGCACATTTATAATAAGACTTATGCAAGAAAACTCTAAAAGTAGAATTGTTGAGTGAAATCGTACTTTAAATTCTGAGAGATCTTGTTAAAATGTGTTCAAACCAAAAATTTATGAGAGTGCCTGATTTTCTATACTTTATCTCGTCTGCATTTGTGGGCCTCTCATTGTTATAAGTTTTTTCTTATATTGAGTTATAATCTATTTTTCTATAATTTCCCCCATTTATACTAGTACTGACCTCTGGATTTACACATAACATATTAAGTCCCTCTCACATATAACAAGTCTTTAAGCAGTTAAAGAGCGTCCTCAAGGTTTGCCCAAGGTTCATCTCCAGATTTTATGCTCTGTAGTGGAAGTTTGCCTGTTGGTTGTCAGATTTATCCCTTGACCTTCCCCTGTTTTGCTCTGAAATGGAAGGGGGCTAACACATGAGGTTATGTTTTCTAGGCTCATGTTGGCTGACTTCTGACTGAGTTTGCCAAAGTGAGACACTGCAGGAAATTGGACAGAGGAAGGATCTAGTGATATAAGTATTTATCTCAAGAAACTAGGAAGGGACTCTGGGCAGATCAACATGGCAAAATAGAAGGCTCCACTGATTATGTCCCCACCCCTGCCCCCTCCCCCACAATGACACCAATTTAACAACTATCTACACAGGAAAAACATTTTCATAAGATCCAAAAATCGCCTGTAATCGCAGCACTTTGGGAGGCCGAGGCAGGCGGATCACGAGGTCAGGAGATCGAGACCATCCTGGCTAACATGATGAAACCCCGTCTCTACTAAAAACACAAAAAATTAGCCGGGCGTGGTGGTGGGCGCCTGTAATCCCAGCTACTTTGGAGGCTGAGACAGGAGAATGGCATGAACCCGGGAGGTGGAGCTTGCAGTGAGCCGAGATTGTGCCACTGCACTCCAGCCTGGGTGACAGAGCCAGACTCCATCACAAAAAAAGAAAAAGAAAAAGAAAAAAAAAGAACCAAAAATCAGGTAACCAATCATAGTGCCTGGTTATAACTTTATATTGCTGAAAGAGGCACTGAAGGGATAGAAAAAATAATCTTGAATCCTCAATGCCACCCCTCCCCCACCCCAGGCAGCTGTGGCTTGGTGCAGTGAGCCTCCTTGACCACTGTGAGAGACACAGCAATTGTGAAGCACTGAACTCGCTGCTGTCCTGTTAGAGCACAAAGAAAAACCAGGCCAAACTCAGCTGATGCCTGTCCATGAAGGAAGCATTTAAACCAGTCCTAGCCAAAAGGGATTTGCCAATCCCAGTGATCTGAACTTGAGGACTCACAAACCTCACTGCTACCAAGGACCAAAGTGCTCTCAGACTCTAAGTAAACTTGAAAGGCAGTCCAGGCCATAAGGACTGCAACTCTTAGGTAGTCTTATTGCTGAACTAGGCCCAGAGACAGTGGATTGGTGGGAAAGGAAGGTGAGACATACTGAGACACCAGCTGGGGCAGCCAAGAGAGTGCTGGCATCACCCCTTCTTTAACTCCAGTTTGCATACCTCACAGCTCCAAAAAGGCCCCTTCCTTCCACTTGTGGAAAGGAGAAGGAAGACTGGGAAGGACTTTGATTTGCATCTTGGATGCCAGATGAGCTACAGTAGGATAGGGCACTGGTTAGAGTCATGAGGCCCCCATTCCAGGCTCTAGCTCTCAGGTGACATTGTTAGACACACCCTAGGCCAGAAGGGAACCTGCTGCCTTGAAAGAAAGGACAGCGTCCTGAAAGCATTAATTACCTGCAAATTGAAGAGACTTTAGGACTCAAATAACAAGCAACAATACTCAGGTACTACATTGAGGGCCTTGCGGGATCCTCTGAGACCTGCTGGCTTCAGATAAGACTAAGCCTGTTATCAGCTGTGTTGGCTATTGGGCAAAACTCCCTCTGCTTGAGAAAATCAGAGGGAAAGGAAAGGGGACTTTGTCTTGCACCTTAAGTACAAGCACAACCACAGGGATGTAGAGCACAAAGTGGGCTTTTGGGGGTCCCCAATTCCAGAACTTTGCTCTTAGATGGCATTTCTAGACCTGCCCTGGGGGAGAGGGAAGCCCACTGCCCTGAAGGGTGAGTTCCAGTCAGTCAGCATTCACCACAAGCTAACTTAAGAGCCCTAAGGCCTTAAAGGAACATCAGTGGTAGTCTGGCAGTACTCCTTGTGGCATGGGGTGGTGGTGGCTATGAGGTGAGGCTTCTATGCCTTTGGAAAGGGGAAGAAAGAGTGGGAAGGATGGTGTCTTGTGATTTGAGTGCCAGTTCAGCCACAGTACAATAGAACACCAGGTAGATTATTAAGGTTTTTGACTCCTCTTCCTGAATCCCAGGACAGTAACTCTGAACCCACCTAAGCCTGGGGGACCTCACCACCCTGAAGTGAAAGACCCAGACCTTGATGGTTTTGCCATCTGCTGATTGTACAACCTCAGGCCCTTGAGTGAACATAGGCAGTATCCAGGGAGTTATTACAGCAGAGCTTACAGCCAGTGGTTACAACACTGGGCAAGACCCAGTGCTGTGCTGGCTTCACATGTGACCCAGTGCAGTCATAGTGGTAGTAGCCTCAGGGGTGCTTATGTTACTCCACCCACAGCATTAAATGGCTCAGAACAGAGAGAGACTCTGTTTGAAAGAAAAAAAGGAACGAGGACAAGAGTCTGCCTGGTAATCCATATAATTCATTCAGATGTTGTCCAAGAAAATCAAAGTGGCATCTCTATGAGTCTGCAAGAACCACAATGTTACTGTGCTTGGGGTACACCCTAAAGTATATACAGCTTAGATCACAACACACGAGTCTCTTCAAATATCTGGAAAGCCTTAGCAAGAAGGAGGACTACAAATAAGTTCAGACAGTGAGGACTGCAATAAATACCTTACACTTCAATGCCCAAACACCAAAGAATATCTACCAGTATCAATACCATCTGGGAAAATATAAACTCACAAAATGAACTAAATAAGGCACCAAGGATCAATCCTGGAGAAAGACAGATATGTAACTATTTGGACAGAGAATTCAAAATAGCTGTGCCGAAGAAACTCAAAAAAATTCAAGATAACACACAGAAGGAACTCAGAATTCTATCAAATTAATTTAACAAATAGATGACAATAATTTAAAAGAATTAAGCAGAAATTCTACAGCTGAAAAATGCAAGTGACACAATGAAGAATGCATCAGTGTCTTTTAGTAGCAGAATTGATCAAGCAGAAAAAAGAATTAGTGAGCTTCAAGACAGTATAATTGAAAAGCACTTTCTAGATCCTGTTGATGTGCTTCTTTGTTTTTTCTTATTTCTTTCATATCAGGAGAAAAACAAAGAAGCACACCAAAAGGATCTAGAAAATGGCCTCAAAAAGGCAAATCTAAGAGCTATCGGCCTTAATGAGGAGGTAGAGAAAGAAATAGGGGTAGAAAGTTTATTCAGAGGATAATAGAGAATTTCCTAAACCTACAGAAAGATATCAATGTCCAAGTACAAGAAGATTATAGAACAGCAAGCAGATTTGACCCAAAGAAGATTACCTCAAGGTGTTGAATAATCAAACTCCCCAAGATCAATGATAAAGAAAGGATAGTAAAAGCAGCAAGAGAAAAGAAACAAATAACATACAATAGAGCTCCAATATATCTGGCAGCAGACTCTTTGTTGGAAAACTTACAGGCCAGGAGATGGTGGCATAACATATTTAAAGTGCTGAAGAAAAACAACTTTTAGCCTAGAATAGTATAGCTGGCAAAAATATCCTTCCAACATGAAGGAGAAATAAAAACTTTCCCAGACAAAGAAAAGCTGCGGGATTTCATCAATACCAGGCAGGTCTTACAAGAAATGCTAAAGGGAGTACTTCAATCAGAAAGAAAAGGATATTAATGAGTAATAAATGATCACCTGAAGGTACAAAACTCACTGGTAATAGTAAGTATGCAGATAAACATGGAATATTATAACACTGTAGCTGTGGTGTGTAAACTGCTCTTATCCTAAGTAGGAAGATTAAATGACTCAGCAATAAAAAATAATAACTGCAACAAATTTTCAAGACATAGTACAATAATTTGTAAATAGAAACAATAAAAAGTTAAAAGTAAGGGGACAAAGTTAAGGTATACAATTTTTATTAATTTTGTTTTTGCTTGTATGTTTGTTTATGCAAAGAGTGTTACGTTGTTATCAGCTAAAAACAGTGGTTTATATGATAGTATTTGAAACCTTCGTGGTAACCACAAACCAAAAAACATACAGTGAATACACAAATAATGTAAAGCAAGAAAGTGAATCATATCACCAGATAAAATCAACTTTACTAAAGGAAGACAGAAAAAAAAAAAGAAAAGAAAACAATTAAAATGGCAGGAGTAAGACCTAGTCAGTACAATAATATATAAATGCAAACAACAAAACATTAAAAAGTTACTGGGTGTGGTGGCTTATGCCTTTAATCTCTGCACTTAGGGAGGCCGAGGCAGGCAAATTGCTGAACCCTAGGAGTTTGAGACCATCTTGGGTAACATGGCAAAAATCCATCTCTACAAAAAATACAACAATTATCCAGGTGTGATGGTGTGTGTCTGTGATCCCAGCTATTTGAGAGGCTGAGGTGAAAGGGTCAATTGAGCCTAGGAGGTGAAGGTTGCAGTGAGTCAATCTTCTGCCACTACACTTCAGTCTGGGAGACAGAGCAAAACCCTGTCTCACAAAAAAAAAAAAAAAAAAAAAAAAAAAAAAGAAAGAAAAAGAAAAAAAGAAACGATAAAAAGCAGGTGGACAAAGAAGTTAAGCCATAGACTTTTTATTAGTTTGTTTTTTACTTGTTTGTTTGTTTTCTTATGCAGACAGTGTTGTTATAAGGTTAAAATATGGGTTATTGGTAGTATTTCCAAGCCTCATGATAAACTCAAACCATAAAATATACAATGGATACACAGAAAATATAAAGCAAAAAACTAAATTACATCGCCAGAGAAAATAGCCTTCAATAAAGCATATATATAAGGAAAATATTATCAGAGCTAAATAGAGAGGCCACAATTAAATAATAGCTGGAGACTTCATCACACCATTTTCACCATTGGACAGATCCTCCAGACAGAAAATCACCAAAAAAAAAAAAAAAAAAAATCAGACTTAATCTGCACTATAGACCAAATGGATCTAGATAATTACAGAACATTTCCTCCAACAACTTCAGAATACATATTCTTTTCTTCAGCACATGGATCGTTCTCAAAGATCAACCATATATTAGGGCACAAAACAAGTCTTAAAACGTTCAAAAAATTGAAATAATATCAAGCATCTTCTCTGACCACAATGGAATAAAACTAGTAAGTAATAACAAGAGGAATTTTGGAAACTATACAAATATATGGAAACTAAACAATGTACTCCTGAATGGCCAGTGGGTCAATGAAGAAATTAAGAAGGAAATTGAAAAATTCCTTGAAACAAATGACATATCAACAGAATGAAGGATAAAAACTATGTGATCATTTCAATTGATGCTGAAAAAGCATTTAATAAAATTCAACATTCCTTCAGGATAAAAACTCTCAAAAACCTGGGGATGGAAGGAACGTGCACCAGCATAATTAAAACCATATAAAACAGAGCCATAGCTAGTATCATACTGAATGTGGAGAAACTGAAAACCTTTCCTCTAAGATCTGAGATATGACAAGGATGCCCACTGTATTAGTCCATTTTCACGCTGCCATAAAAAACTTCTCAAGACTGGGTAATTTATAAAGGAAGTAGGTTTAATTGACTCACAGATCTGCATGACTGGAGAGGCCTCAGGAAACTTACAATCATAGCATAAGGCACCTCTTCATAGGGTGGCAGGAGAGGGAATGAGAGCCGAGTGAAGGAGGAAGCCCCTTATAAAACCATCAGATCTTATGAGAACTCAGTCACTATCATGAGAACAGAATGGGGAAAACTGCCCCCATGATTCAATTATCTCCACCTGGTCTTGCCCTTGACACATTGGGATTATTACAATTCAAGGTGAAATTTGGGTGAGGACACAGGCAAAGCACATAATTTTGCCCCTGGCCCTGCCCAAATCTCATGTCCTTCTCACATTTCAAAACACAATCATGCCTTCCCAACAGTCCCCCAAAGTCTTCACTCATCCCAGCATTAACTCAAAAGTTCAAGTCCAACGTCTCATCTGAGACAAGGAAAGTCCCTTCTGCCTATAAGCCTGTAAAATCAAAAGCAGGTCAGTTACTTTCTAGTTACAATGGGGGTACAGGCATTGAGTAAATACACCCAATTCAAATGGGAGAAATTGGCCAAAACAAAAGGGTTACAGGCCCCATGCTATCTGAAATCCAATAGGGCAGTCATTAAACCTTAAACTTCCAAAATAATCTTCTTTGACTCCATGTCTCACATTCAGGTCACACGGATGCAAAAGGTGGGAACCCAGAGTCTTGGGCAGCTCTGACTCTATGGCTTTGCAAGGTACAGCTCCACTCCTGGCTTCTTTCATGGGCTGGCCTTGAGTGTCTGTGGCTTTTCCAGGCACACTATGCAAACTGTCGGTGGATCTACTGTTCTGGGTCTGGAGGATAGTGGCCCTCTTCTCAAAGCTGCACAAGACAGTGCCCCAGTGGGGACTCTGGGTAGGGGCTCCAACCCCACATTTCCCTTCTGCATTGCCCTAGCAGAGGTTCTCCATGAGGACTCTGCCCTGCAGCAAACTTCTGCCTGGACATCCAGGCCTTTCCATACATCCTCTGAAATCTAGCCAGAGGTTCCCAAACCTCAACTCTTGACTTCTGTGCACCTGCAGGCCCAACACCATGTGGAAGCTGCCAAGGTTTGGGGCCTGAACCCTGTGAAGCAATGGCCTGAGCTGTATGTTGGCTTCTTTTAGCCATGGCTGGTGCTGCTGGGATGCAGGGCACCAAGTCCCAAGGCTGCACACAGCTGGGGGGCCTGGACCTTGCCCACAAAACCATTTTTCCTTCCTAAGCCTCTACGCTTGTGATCGGAAGGTCTCTGACATACCTGGAGGCATTTCCCCATTGTCTTGATGATTAGCATTTAGCACCTCATTACTTATGCAAATTTCTGCAGCCAGCTTGAATTTCTCCCCAGAAAATAGGTTTTTCTTTTCTATCCCATTGCCAGGCTGAAAATTTTTGAAACTTTTATGCTATGCTTCTCTTGAACATTTTGCTGCTTAGAAATTTCTTCTGCCGGATACCCTAAATCATCTCTCTCAAGTCCAAAGTTCCACAGATCTTAGGGCAGGGGCAAAAAGCCACCAGACTATTTGCTAAAGCATAGCAATAGTGACCTTTACTCTGTTTTCCAGCAAGTTTCTCATCTCCATCTGAGACCACCTCAGCCTGGACTTCATTGTTGATATCACTATTGGCATTTTGGTCAAAGCCATTCAACTAGTCTCTAGGAAGTTCCAAACCTTCCCACATCTTTCTGGCTTCTGAGCCCTCCAAGTCTCTAGGAAACTCCAAACTATCCCACATTTTCCTTTCTTCTTCTGAGCCCTTCAAACTGTTCCAACATCTGCCTGTTACCCAGTTCCAAAGTCACTTACACGTTTTTGGGTATCTGCATAGCAGCATGCCACTCCCTGTGGTACCAATTTACTGTATTAGTTTGTTCTCATGCAGCTGTGAAGAAATGCCTGAGACTGGGTAATTTATAAAGAAAAGATGTTTAATTGACACACAGTTCTGCATGGCTGGGATAGCCTCAGGAAACTTAAAATCATGGCAGAAGGCACCTTTTCACAGGGCAGCAGGAAGGAGAATGAGAGCCAAATGAAAGAGGAAGCTCCTTATAAAACCATCAGACCTCATTGGAGCTCACTCACTATTGAGTACAGTGTGGGGAAACAATCCCCATGATTCAGTTATCTCCACCTGGCCCCACCCTTGACACGTGGGGATTATTACAATTCAAGGTGAGAGATTTGATTAGGGAGACAGAGCCAAACCATATCACCCACTGTCACCACTATTATTTAACATAGTACTGGAAGTCCTAGCTGCAGCAATTAGACAAGGGAAAGACATAAATGGCCTCCAAATTAGAAAGGAAGAAGTCAAATTATCCTTGTTTACAGGTGATGTAATCTTGTATTTGGCAAAACCTAAAGACTCCACAAGAAAGCTGTTAGAACTAATAAATTCAGTAATGTTGCAGGATACAAAACCAACATACAAAAATCAGTAGCATTTTCATATGCCAATAGTGAATAATATGAAAAAATGTAATTTCATTTACAATAGCCATACATAAAATTGGATACCTAGAAATTAACTTAACCAAAGAAATGAAAGATCTCTATAATGAAAACTATAAAGCACTGATGAAAAAAACTGAAGAGGAAAAGAAAAAAAAAATTGAAGAGAAGACCAAAAAATGGAAAAATAACCCATGTACATGGATTGGAAGAATGACTATTGTTAAAATGTCCATAGTATCAAAACCAATCTACATGTTCAATGCAATCCTTATCAATGTATCAGTGACATTCTTCACAGAAATAGAAAAACAACTTTAAATTTATATGGAACCACAAAATATCCAGAGCAGCCAAAGCTATCCAAATTAAAAAGAAAAAAACCTGGAGGAGTCACATTACCTGGCTGCAAATTACACTGCAGAGCTATAGGAACTGAAACAGCATAGTACTGGCATAAAACAGACACATAGGCCAATGGAACAGAATAGAGAAGACAGAAAAAAATACACACAACTACAGTGAACTCATTTTTGACAAAATTGCTAAGAAGATCCACTGGGGGAAAAGACAGCTTCTTCAATAAATGATACTAGAAAAACGGGATATTCATATTCAGAAAAATTAAACTGGACCCCTCTCTCTCACCTCATACAAAAGTCAAATTAAAGTGAATTAAAGACTTCCATCTAACACCTCAAACTATAAAAGTACTACAAGAAAACTTTGGGGAAAATCTCCAATTCATTGATCTGGGCAAAAATATATTAAACAATACCCCATAAGCACAGGCAACCAAGCAGAAATGGACAAATGGAATCACATCAGGTTAAAAAGCTTCTGCACTGTAAAGGATACAATCAACAAAGTGAAGAGAAAACTCATAGAATGGGAAAAATATTTGCAAACTGCTCATCTGACAAGGGATTAATAACCAGGATATATAGAGAGTTCAAAAAGCTCTGTAGGAAGAAAATCTAGTAAGCTGAACAAAAATTGGGCAAAAGATTTGAATAGACCTTTCTCAAAAGAAGACATACAAATGGCCAAGGTGCTCAAAACCAGTGATCATCAGAGAAATGCAAATCAAAGCTGCAATGAGATATCATTGCACCCCAGTTAAAATGGCTTATGTCCAAAAAGTGGGCAATGATACATGCTGGTGAGAATGTGGGGAAAAAGTAACCCTTGGACAATGTTGGTGGGAATGTAAATTACTACAACCGCTATGGAAAACAGATTCCTCAAAACACTATAAACTGAGCTACCATGTGATCCAGCTATTTCTCTGCTGGGTATATACCCAGAAGTAAGGAAATCAGTATATTGAAGAGATATCTGCACTCCTGTGTTTGTTGCAGCACTATTTACAATAGCTAAGCTTGGGAAGCAACCTACATGTCTATCAAGAGATGAATGGACAAAGAAAATGTGGTACATATACACAATGGGGTACTCTTGAGCCATAAAAGAATATAAGTGAATAAGTAATAAATGAATAAGCGGATAAGAGAATAAGCGAAATAATCCAGGCACAGAAAGATAAATATCACATGTTCTCACTTAAGTATGGGATCTGAAAATAAAAACAATTGAATTCATGAACAGAGAGAGTTGAAGGGTGGTTACTGGAGGCTGGGAAAGGTAGTGGGGGCTGAGGGAGATGGGAATGGTTAATAGAAAATGGAAATAGAAAGTTAATAGAAAATAAAAAATAGAAAGAATGAATAATACCTACTTTGTGGTATCTCAACAGGGTGACTATAGTCAACAATATTTAATTGTACATTTTAAAATAACTTAAGGTATGTAATAGGATTGTTCAAAACACAATGGATAAGTGCTTGAGGGGATGGATACCCCATTCTCCATGATGTGCTTGTTTCATATTGCATCTTTGTATGAAAACATCTTATGTACCCCATAAATATATACACCTGTCTATCCTTATAAATAAATAAATAAAAATAAATAAATAAACTAGGAGAAGAACAAATTCTACCTAATTAAAGGTGATGGAAAATAATAAGGATAAAGGCAGAAATTAATTAAAGAGAAAGAAAACATTTAATAGAGTAAGAGTACAAGCTTAAATTTAGTTCTTTGGAAAGACTAATATAATTAATTAACTCTTGGCAAAACTGATCAAGACAAAAAAAGATAAGACACAAATTGCCAACATCTTGGGTGAAAAGAGGGATACCACTGAGATTCTACAGATATTAAAAAGATAAGAGATTGATTTAATCTTATGACAATAAATTCAATTTTAGATAAAATAGAAAACTTCCTTAAAAAACACAATTTACCAAAACTATCACAAGAAGTATAACATTTGAATAATATTATATCTATTAAAGAAATCAAATTTGTAATTAAAAACTTTCCCACAAAGAATAGTTTAGCCTCAGATGATAGTAAATTTCTTCAAATATTTAAGAGAGAAATAACATCCATGTCACACAAATTCTTCCAGAGGATAGAAAAGGAAGGAATGTTTCTGAACTCATTTTATGTGATTATAATAACACTTATGAGAAAATCTGACAAGGACATAATAAGAAAATTAAAGGCCAATCTCCTTAGTGGACATAAATAAAAATTTTTATTATTTATTATAAAATTGAATCCAGTAATAAAATGAACAATCGTCATGATCAAGTTTGGTTTCTTCTATGAATTCAAAGGTGATATGATATTTTTGAAAATAATTTAATTATTATATCAAAGTTTTGATAGCGTTAGTTTCATGAGTGCTCTCTCATCCTATGGTATATTTAAAGTATTTTTTAAGAAAACACCTTAACATGGCTGAGTGTGGTGGCTCATACCTGTAATCCCAGCATTTTGGGAGGCCAAGGTGGGTGGATCACTTGAGGTCAGGAGTTTGAGACCTGCCTGGCCAACATGATGAAACCTCATCTCTACTAAAAATACAAAAATTAGCCAGTCGTAGTGGCGGACGCCTGTAATCCCAACTACTCTGGAGGCTGAGACACAAGAATTGCTTGAATCCGGGAGGCGGAGGTTGTAGTGAGCCGAGATCATACCACTGCACTCCAGCCTGGGCGACAGAGCAAGACTCTTAAAAAAAATAATAAGAATTGACTTGTCAGTTCCTACATAAAATCTGCTGAAGTTTTCATAGGGGTCAAAACATACCAATTTGCAGCTAATTGATGTCTTTATAATATTGAGTTTTTCAATTAGCATGGCATATCCCTCCATTTATTTTGGTCCTCCTTAATTTCTCTCAATAATGTCTGATAGTTTCCTGTATAGGACTCTTGCACATGTTTTGTTAGATTTGTTTTTAGGTATTTGATGCTATCATAAAAAGTATCTTTTTTTTCTCAAATTTTAATACTGATTGATTTTTGTGTATTGAACTTGTATCCAGTGAACTTTCCTAATACACTTACTATTTTTAACAGATGTGTATAGATTATTTTAATCTTTTCAATACATAACAGTGTCATAAGCAAATAATAAATCTCTTATTTTTTCACTTCTAATCCTTTTACCTTTTATTTATTTTTTTTTACTCTATTTCACTGGTTAGGACTTTCATTACAGTGTTGAATGTAAGTGACAACAACAGGTGTTCTTGTTTTATTGCCACTCTAAGGAGGAAAACTTTTAGTATTTCACCACTAAATATGACGTTTGCTATAAGGTTTTGTTTCATATGCTAAGGACGTGTTCTTCTATTCCTGGTTTGCTAGAAATGTTTTTCTTATTACAAACTGGTATAGAATTTTAAACTTCATCCTAACTCATTTATTGAGACTATCATAGACTTTTTCTAATTTATACCTCTTTTCTCACTTTTCCTTGATGTTTATCCATTCAAATAATTGATGATAAATTGATTTTTCTTGACAAAAGTTAATTTTTTATTATTATAATGAATGCAATATTTATTAAGCTCATATTAAGGTTTTTTGTTTGTGTGTTTTTTGTAGAGATAGGGTTTCACCACGTTGGCCAGGTTGGCGTTGAACTCCTGGCCACTAGTACTCAGCCCGCCTTGGCCTACCAAAATGCTGGGATTACAGGCATGAGCCACCACACGCAGCAATATTAAGGTATTTTCTTAAAAAATGTTAAATGTACCATAGGAAGAGAGAGTACTCATAAAATTAAAACTATCAGAACTTTGATATAATAAATAATTTTGAAAAATATCATGTCACCTTTGAATTCATAGAGTAAACCAAACTTGATGATAACAATTGTTTATTTTATCACTGGATTCAAATTTATAATATATAATAAAATTTTTATTTTTGTTCATTAGGGAGATTGGCCTTTAAATTTTTTTTTTGAATTCAATGATTTATTTTTATTTATTTATTTATTTATTTATTTATTTATTTATTATTATACTTTAAGTTTTAGGGTACATGTGCACAATCTGCAGGTTAGTCACATACGTATACATGTGCCATGCTGGTGCGCTGCACCCACTAACTCATCATCTAGCATTAGGTATATCTCCCAATCGTATCCCTCCCCCATCCCCCGACCCCACAACAGTCCCCAGAGTGTGATGTCCCCCTTCCTGTGTCCATGTGTTCTCATTGTTCAATTCCCACCTATGAGTGAGAATATGCGGTGTTTGGTTTTTTGTTCTTGTGATAGTTTACTGAGAATGATGATTTTCAATTTCATCCATGTCCCTACAAAGGACATGAACTCATCACTTTTTATGGCTGCATAGTATCCCATGGTGTATATGTGCCACATTTTCTTAATCCAGTCTATCATTGTTGGACATTTGGGATGGTTCCAAGTCTTTGCTATTGTGAATAATGCCGCAATAAACATACGTGTGCATGTGTCTTTATAGCAGCATGTTTTATAGACCTTAGGGTATATACCCAGTAATGGGATGGCTGGGTCAAATGGTATTTCTAGTTCTAGATCCCTGAGGAATCGCCACACTGACTTCCACAATGGTTGAACTAGTTTACAGTCCCACCAACAGTGTAAAAGTGTTCCTATTCGTCCACATCCTCTCCAGCACCTGTTGTTTCCTGACTTTTTAATGATTGCCATTCTAACTGGTGTGAGATGGTATCTCATTGTGGTTTTGATTTGCATTTCTCTGATGGCCAGTGATGGTGAGCATTTTTTCATGTGTTTTTTGGCTGCATAAATGTCTTCTTTTGAGAAGTGTCTGTTCATGTCCTTTGCCCACTTTTTGATGGGGTTGTTTGTTTTTTTCTTGTAAATTTGTTTGAGTTCATTGTAGATTCTGGATATTAGCCCTTTGTCAGATGAGTAGGTTGCAAAAATTTTCTCCCATTTTGTAGGTTGCCTGTTCACTCTGATGGTAGTTTCTTTTGCTGTGCAGAAGCTCTTTAGTTTAATTAGATCCCATTTGTCAATTTTGTCTTTTGTTGCCATTGCTTTTGGTGTTTTAGACATGAAGTCCTTGCCCATGCCTATGTCCTGAATGGTAATGGCTAGGTTTTCTTCTAGGGTTTTTATGGTTTTAGGTCTAACGTTTAAGTCTTTAATCCATCTTGAATTAATTTTTGTATAAGGTGTAAGGAAGGGATCCAGTTTCAGCTTTCTACATACGGCCAGCCAGTTTTCCCAGCACCATTTATTAAATAGGGAATCCTTTCCCCATTGCTTGTTTTTCTCAGGTTTGTCAAAGATCAGATAGTTGTAGATATGCAGCATTATTTCTCAGGGCTCTGTTCTGTTCCATTGATCTATATCTCTGTTTTGGTACCAGTACCATGCTGTTTTGGTTACTGTAGCCTTGTAGTATAGTTTGAAGTCAGGTAGTGTGATGCCTCCGGCTTTGTTCTTTTGGCTCAGGATTGACTTGGCGATGCGGGCTCTTTTTTGGTTCCATATGAACTTTAAAGTAATTTTTTCCAATTCTGTGAAGAAAGGCATTGGTAGCTTTATGGGGATGACATTGAATCTGTAAATTACCTTGGGCAGTACGGCCATTTTCACGATATTGATTCTTCCTACCCATGAGCATGGAATATTCTTCTATTTGTTTGTATCCTCTTTTATTTCCTTGAGCAGTGGTTTGTAGTTCTCCTTGAAGAGGTCCTTCACATCCCTTGTAAGTTTGATTCCTAGGTATTTTATTCTCTTTGAAGCAATTGTGAATGGGAGTTCACTCATGATTTGGCTCTCTGTTTGTCTGTTGTTGGTGTATAAGAATGCTTGTGATTTTTGCACATTGATTTTGTATCCTGAGACTTTGCTGAAGTTGCTTATCCGCTTAAGGAGATTTTGGGCTGAGACAATGGGGTTTTCTAGATATACAATCATGTCGTCTGCAAACAGGGACAATTTGACTTCCTCTTTTCCTAATTGAATACCCTTTATTTCCTTCTCTTGTCTAATTGCCCTGGCCAGAACTTCCAACACTGTGTTGAGTAGGAGTGGTGAGAGAGGGCATCCCTGTCTTGTGCCAGTTTTCAAAGGGAATGCTTCCAGTTTTTGCCCATTCAGTATGATATTGGCTGTGGGTTTGTCATAGATAGCTCTTATTGTTTTGAAATACATCTCATCAATACCTAATTTATTGAGAGTTTTTAGCATGAAGTGTTGTTGAATTTTGTCAAAGGCCTTTTCTGCATCTATTGAGATAATCATGTGGTTTTTGTCTTTGGTTCTGTTTGTATGCTGGATTACATTTATTGATTTGCGTATGTTGAACCAGCCTTGCATCCCAGGGATGAAGCCCACTTGATCATGGTGGATAAGCTTTTTGATGTGCTGCTGGATTCGTTTTGCCAGTATCTTATTGAGGATTTTTGCATCAATGTTCATCAAGGATATTGGTCTAAAATTCTCTTTTTTGGTTGTGTCTCTGCCCGGCTTTGGAATCAGAATGATGCTGGCCTCATAAAATGAGTTAGGGAGGACTCCCTCTTTTTCTATTGATTGGAATAGTTTCAGAAGGAGTGGTACCAGTTCCTCCTTGTACCTCTGGTAGAATTAGGCTGTGAATCCATCTGGTCCTGGACTCTTTTTGGTTGGTAAGCTATTGATTATTGCCACAATTTCAGACCTGTTATTGGTCTATTCAGAGATTCAACTTCTTCCTGGTTTAGTCTTGGGAGAGTGGATGTATTGAGGAATTTATCCATTTCTTCTAGATTTTCTAGTTTATTTGTGGAGAGGTGTTTGTAGTATTCTCTGATGGTAGTTTGTATTTCCGTGGGATCGGTGGTGATATCACCTTTATCATTTTTTATTGCGTCTATTTGATTTTTCTCTCTTTTTTTCTTTATTAGTCTTGCTAGTGGTCTATCAGTTTTGTTGATCTTTTCAAAAAACCAGCTCCTGGATTCATTCATTTTTTGAAGGGCTTTTTGTGTCTCTATTTCCTTCAATTCTGCTTTGATTTTAGTTATTTCTTGCCTTCTGCTAGCTTTTGAATGTGTTTGCTCTTGCTTTTCTAGTTCTTTTAATTGTGATGTTAGGGTGTCAATTTTGGATCTTTCCTGCTTTCTCTTGTGGGCATTTAGTGCTATAAATTTCCCTCTACACACTGCTTTGAATGTATCCCAGAGATTCTGGTATGTTGTGTCTTTGTTCTTGTTGGTTTCAAAGAACATCTTTATTTCCGCCTTCATTTCATTATGTACCCAGTAGTCATTCAGGAGCAGGTTGTTCAGTTTCCATGTAGTTGAGCGGTTTTGAGTGAGATTCTTAATCCTGAGTTCTAGTTTGATTGCACTGTGGTCTGAGAGATAGTTTGTTATAATTTCTGTTCTTTTACATTTGCTGAGGAGAGCTTTACTTCCAAGTATGTGGTCAATTTTGGAATAGGTGTGGTGTGGTGCTGAAGAAAATGTATATTCTGTTGATTTGGGGTGGAGAGTTCTGTAGATGTCTATTAGGTCAGCTTGGTGCAGAGCTGAGTTCAATTCCTGGGTATCCTTTTTGACTTTCTGTCTCATTGATCTGTCCAATGTTGACAGTGGGGTGTCAAAGTCTCCCATTATTAATGTGTAGGAGTCTAAGTCTCTTTGTAGGTCACTCAGGACTTGCTTTGTGAATCTGGGTGCTCCTGTATTGGGTGCATATATATTTAGGATAGTTAGCTCTTCTTGTTGAATTGATCCCTTTACCATTATGTAATGCCCTTCTTTGTCTCTTTTGATCTTTGTTGGTTTAAAGTCTGTTTTATCAGAGACTAGGATTGCAAACCCTGCCTTTTTTTGTTTTTCATTTGCTTGGTAGATCTTCCTCCATCCTTTTATTTTGAGCCTATATGTGTCTCTGCACATGAGATGGGTTTCCTGAATACCGCACACTGATGGGTCTTGACTCTTTATCCAATTTGCCAGTCTGTGTCTTTTAATTGGAGCATTTAGTCCATTTACATTTAAAGTTAATATTGTTATGTGTGAATTTGATCCTGTCATTATGATGTTAGCTGGTGATTTTGCTCGTTAGTTGATGCAGTTTCTTCCTAGTCTCGATGGTCTTTACATTTTGGCATGATTTTGCAGCGGCTGGTACCGGTTGTTCCTTTCCATGTTTAGCACTTCCTTCAGGAGCTCTTTTAGGGCAGGCCTGGTGGTGACAAAATCTCTCAGCATTTGCTTGTCTGTAAAGGATTTTATTTCTTCTTCACTTATGAAGCTTCGTTTGGCTGGATATGAAATTCTGGCTTGAAAATTCTTTTCTTTAAGAATGTTGAATATTGGCCCCCACTCTCTCCTGGCTTGTAGAGTTTCGGCCGAGAGATCACCTGTTAGTCTGATGGGCTTCCCTTTGAGGGTAACCCGACCTTTCTCTCTGGCTGTCCTTAACATTTTTTCCTTCATTTCAACTTTGGTGTATCTGACAATTATGTGTCTTGGAGTTGCTCTTCTCGAGGAGTATCTTTATGGCGTTCTCTGTATTTCCTGAATCTGAATGTTGGCCTGCCTTGGTAGATTGGGGAAGTTCTCCAGGGTAATATCTTGCAGAGTGTTTTCCAACTTGGTTCCCTTCTCCCCGTCACTTTCAGGTACACCCATCAGACGTAGATTTGGTCTTTTCACATAGTCCCATATTTCTTGGATGCTTTGCTCATTTCTTTTTATTCTTTTTTCTCTAAACTTCCCTTCTCACTTCATTTCATTCATTTCATCTTCCATCGCTGATACCCTTTCTTCCAGTTGATTGCATCGGCTCCTGAGGCTTCTGCATTCTTCACGTAGTTCTCGAGCCTTGGTTTTCAGCTCCATCAGCTGCTTTAAGCACTTCTCTGTATTGGTTATTCTAGTTATACATTCTTCTAAATTTTTTTCAAAGTTTTCAACTTCTTTGCCTTTGGTTTGAATGTCCTCCCATAGCTCGGAGTAATTTGATCATCTGAAACCTTCTTCTCTCAGCTCGTCAAAGTCATTCTCCATCCAGCTTTGTTCTGTTGCTGGTGAGGAACTGCGTTCCTTTGGAGGAGGAGAGTCGCTCTGCTTTTTACAGTTTCCAGTTTTTCTGCCCTGTTTTTCCCCCATCTTTGTGGTTTTATCTACTTTTGGTCTTTGATGATGGTGATGTACAGATGGGTTTTTGGTGTGGATGTCCTTTCTGTTTGTTAGTTTTCCTTCTAACAGACAGGACCCTCAGCTGAGGTCTGTTGGAGTACCCGGCCGTGTGAGGTGTCAGTCTGCCCCTGCTGGGGGGTGCCTCCCAGTTAGGCTGCTCAGGGGTCAGGGGTCAGGGACCCACTTGAGGAGGCAGGCTGCCCCTTCTCAGATCTCCAGCTGCATGCTGGGAGAACCACTGCTCTCTTCAAAGCTATCAGACAGGGACATTTAAGTCTGCAGAGGTTACTGCTGTCTTTTTGTTTGTCTGTGCCCTGCCCCCAGAGGTGGAGCCTACAGAGGCAGGCAGGCCTCCTTGAGCTGTGGTGGGCTCCACCCATTTCAAGCTTCCCGGCTGCTTTGCTTACCTAAGCAAACCTGGGCAATGGCAGGCGCCCCTCCCCCAGCCTCGCTGCCGCCTTGCAGTTTGATCTCAGATTGCTGTGCTAGCAATCAGTGAGACTCCGTGGTTGTAGGACCCTCTGAGCCAGGTGCGGGATATAATCTCGTGGTGCACCATTTTTTAAGCCTGTTGGAAAAGCGCAGTATTCGGGTGGGAGTGACCCGATTTTCCAGGTGCCGTCTGTCACCCTTTTCTTTGACTAGGAAAGGGAACTCCCTGACCCCTTGTGCTTCCCAAGTGAGGCAATGCCTCGTCCTGCTTCGGCTCGCGCACGGTGTGCGCACCCACTGACCTGTGCCCACTGTCTGGCACTCCCTAGTGAGATGAAGCCGGTACCTCAGATGGAAATGCAGAAATCACCCATCTTCTGCATCGCTCACGCTGGGAGCTGTAGACCGGAGCTGTTCCTATTCGGCCATCTTGGCTCCTCCCTCTATTTAAAAAAAAAAAACAGTTTTTTTTCATTTCTATTTTGTATTTTGTTGTTGTTGTTTTAATTTCATTTAGTTCTTCTCTGATCTTCATTATTTCTTTTCTTCTGCTGGGTTTGGGTTTGGATTGTTCTTGTTTCTCCAGTTCCATAAGGTGTGACCTTAGATTGTCTATTTGCACTCTTTCAGACATTTAGATATAGGCATTTAATGCTATGAACTTTCTTTTTAACACTACTTTCGCTGTATCCCAGAGTCTTTGATAGGGTGTGTTGCTATTATCATTCAGTTCAAAGAATGTTTTAATTTTTATCTTGATTTCATTGTTGATCCAATGATCATTCAGGAGCAGGTTATTTAATTGCCATGTGTTTGCATGTGTTAGAGGCTTCCTTTTGGAGTTGATTTTCAATTTTATCTCACTGTGGTCTGAGAGAGTACTCGATATAATTTTGATTTTCTGAAATTTACTGAGACATGTTTTGTGTCCTATCATATGGTCTATCTTGGAGAATGTTCCGTGTGCTGATGAATAGAATGTATATTCTGTAGATGTTTGGTAGAACGTTCTATAAATATCTGTTAAGTCCATTTGTTGTAGGGCATAGTTTAAGTCCATTGTTTCTTTGTTGACTTTCTGTCTTGATTACCTGTCTAGTGCTGTCAGTGGAGTATTAAAGTCCTACACTTTTGCTGTGTTGCCATCTATCTCATTTCTTGGGTCTACTATTAAGTGTTTTATGAATTTGGGAGCTCCAGTGTTGGGTGCATATATATTTAAAATTATGACATTTTCCTGTTGAATGAGTTGTTTTATCATTATATAATGTCCTTCTTTGTCTTTTTAAACTGCTGTTGCTTTAAAGTTAGTTTTGTCTGATATAAGAATAGCTACTCCTGCTCACTTTTGGTGTCCACTTGCATGGAATACCTTTTTCCATCCCTTCACCTTAAGTTTATATGAGTCCTTACGTGTTAGGTCAGTCTCCTGAGGACAGCAGAAACTTGGTTGACAAATTCTTATCCATTCTGTCATTCTGTATCCTTTAAGCGAAGCATTTAGGCTATTTACATTCAATGTTAGTATTGAGATGTGAGGTCCTCTTCTATTCATTCTGCTATTTGTTGCCTGAATACCTTGGTTTCTTTTTCACTGTGCTATTGTTATATAGGGCCTATGCAATTCATGCTTTAAAGAGGTTCTATTTTGGTGTATTTTGAGGATTTATTTCAAGATTTAGAGCTCCTTTTAGCAATTCTTGTAGTGCTGGCTTGGTTGTGGTGAATTAATTCTCTCAGCATTTGTTTGTCTGGAAGAGACTGTAACTTTCCTTCATTTATGAAGCTTAGTTTTGCTGGATACAAAATTCTTGGCTGATAATTGTTTAGTTTAAGGAGGCTAAAAATAGGACCCCATCCATTTTAGCCTGAAGGTTTTCTGCTGAGAAATCTGCTGTTATTCTGATGGGTTTTCGTTTAGAGGTTACCTAATACTTTTGCCTCACAGCTCTTAAAATTCTTTCCTTCATCTTGACTTTAGATAACCTGATGACTACGTGCATAAGTGATGATCTTTTTGTGATAAATTTCTCAGGTGTTCCTTGAGCTTTTTGTATTTGGATGTCTAGGTCTCTAGCAAAGCTGGGGGAAATTTTCCTTGATTATTCCCTTAAATATGTTTTACACTTTTAGATTTCTCTTCTTCATCAGGAACACCAATTATTCTTAGGTTTGGACGTTTAACATAGTCCCAAAGTTTTTGGAGGCTTTGTTCATTTTTAAATTTTTTTTTCGGTCATTGATGGATTGAGTTAATTTGAAAGCCTTGTCTTTGAGCTCTGACCTTCTTTTTTCTGCTTGTTCAACTCTATTGCTGAGACTCTTCAGTTCATTTTGCATTTCTCTAAATGCATCCTTGATTTCCAGAAGTTGTGATTGTTTTTTCTTTATGCGATCTATTTCACTGAAGTATTTTTCTTTCATATCCTGTATTATGTTTTTCATTTCTTTAAGTTGGACTTCACCTTTCTCTGGTGCCTCCTTGATTAGCTTAATAATCAACCTTCTGAGTTATTTTTCTGGCAATTCAGATATTTCATCTTGGTTTGGATCCATTGCTGGTGAGCTGGTATGATCTTTTGGAGTTGTTAAAAAACCTTGTTTTGTCATATTATCAGAATTGTTTTTCTGGTTCCTTCTCATTTGGGTAGACTATGTTAGAGGGAAAATCTGGGATTCAAGGGCTGCAGTTCAGATTCTTTTGCCCCATGGGGTGCTCCCTGGATGTGATGTTCTTCTTCTTTCCCTAGGAATGGGGCTTCCTGAGAGTTGATCTGTAGTGACTGTTTTTGATCTTCTGGGTCTAGACACTCAGCAGAGTTACTAGGATTTGAGCTGGTGCTGGAGAGTATCTGCAAAGACTCCTGTGATGTGATCCATCTTCAGGTCTCTAAGCTGTGCATACCAGCACCTGCTGCAGTAGAGGTAACAGGGGAGTGAGGTAGACTGTGTGTGGGACCTTGGTTGTGTTTTTGTTCAGTGTGTTGGTTTTGGTTGTGTTGGTTGGCCTCTAGCCAGGAAGTGGCCTACTTTCAAGAGTGTATTAGTTGTGGTCCTATAGGGAGGATGTAAACTTGCTGTAGGGACACCTGCTTTAGTATTCACATTTCTCAGTTGGTGGCCAGGGCCATGGAGTTTGCAAGAGATTATGACCTTTTTCTTTGGCTACCAGGGCAGGCAGAGAAAGACCACCAGGTGGGGCCAGAGATAGGTATGTCTGAGCTCAGCCTCTCCTTGTACAGAGTTTGCTATGGCTGCTGTGGGGGATGGAGGTGTAATTCCCAGTGCAATGTAGTTATATTCCCAAGGGGGATTATTGTTGCCTCCGCTGAGTCATACAGGTTGCCAGGGAGTGGGGGAATACTGGCAGTCCCAGGCCTTACCCTGCTCTCACACAGCCCACAGTCCCAAAGGCCAGTCTCACTCCCACTGTGCCCCTCCAACATCCTGAGTCTATTTCCAGGCAGCCAGTGACCAGGGCTGAGAACTAGCACCAGACCATGAGCTTCCCCATTGAGAAAGCAAGCAGACTCACAGTTTTTTGCCATCTCATGGAGCTTGCAGTGGTGATTCAGTTCCTTCAAAGGGTCTGTGGATTCTCTTGGCTTTCCTGGTATATTTCTGTGACCGTTCTTGGAGCAAAAATTCACAGTGTAAGTCTCCACATGCTGTTCTGTGCATCTGAGCAGGAGCTGCAAGCTAGTCCTGCCTTCTGCCATCTTAATCTAGATAATGTGGATTTTGTCTTTAGTTTTGTTTATGTGATGAATCATATTTATTGATTTGCATATGTGGAACCAGCCTCGAATCTCAGATATAAAGCCTACTTGATCATGGCGGATAAGCTTTTTGGTGTGATGCTTGATTTGGTTTGCCGGTATTGTGTTGAGGATTCTTGTATCGATGTTCATCGAGGATATTGGCCTGAAGTTTTCTTTTTTTTTGTTTTGTCTCTGCCATGTCTCTGCCATGTTTTGGTATAAGGATGATGCTGACCTCACAGAATAAGTTGAGGAAGAGTCCCTCTTCTCAATTTTTTGGAAGAGTTTCTGTAGGAATGGTACCAGTTCTTCTTTGTACATCTGGTATAATTCAGCTGTGAATCTCTCTGGTCCTTTTTTTGGTTGATAATCTATTTATTACTGATTCAATGTGAAAGCTTGTTGGTCTGTGCAATGATTCAATTTCTTCCTGGTTCAGTCTTGGAAGGGTGTGTGTGTCCAGGAGTTTATCCATTTCTTCTAGATTTTCTAGTTTGTGTGCACAGAGGTGTTCATAAGAGTCTCTGATGGTTATTTATATTTCTATGAATTCAGTATTAATATCTTCTTTGTTGTTTCTAATTGTTTATTTCAATTGTATCTCTTTTCTTTTTTATTATTATAGTTAGTGGTCTATTTTATTTATTTGTTTTCAGAAAACAAACTCCTAGATTTGTTACTATTTTCAGTGGCTTTGCATGTTTCAATCTCCCTCAGTTCAGCTCTGATTTTGGTTATTTCTTGTCTTCTGCTTCTTTTGGGCTTGGTTTCCCCTTGGTTATCTGGTTCCTTTCGTTGGGATGTTAGGTTGTTACATTGAGATATTTCTGCTTTTTGATGTGGGTGTCAAGTGCTATAAATTTGCCTCTTAACACTGCCTTAGCTGTGTCCCAGAGATTCTAGTATGTTGTATCTTTGTTTTCATTAGTTTCAAATAATTTCTTGGTTTATGCTTTAATTATTATTTAAATTACTTATTTAATTATTTACCCAAAAGTCATTCAGGAGCAGGTTATTTAATTTGAATAAAATTGTATGATTTTGAGCAATTTTCTTGGTCTTTATTTTCAATTTCATGGCCCTATGGTCCAAGAGAGTATTTGGTATGATTTCAGTTCTTTTGTATTTGCTGAGGATTGTTTTATGTCTGATTATGTGGTAGATTTCAGAGTATGTGCCATTTGGTGATGACATTCTGTTGATTTTTGGTGGAGAGTTATGTAGGTGTCTATCGGGTCCATTTGATCCAGTGCTGCATTCAGAACCTAAATATCTCTGTCAATTTTCTGCCTTGATGATCTTTCTAACACTGTCAGTCAGTGGAGAGTTAAAGTCTCCCACTATTATTGTGTGGGAGTCTGTCTCTTTGAAGGGCTCTGAGCACTTGCTGTATGAATCTAGGTGATCCTGTGTTGGTTGCATAAATATTTAGGATAGTTAGGTGTTCTTGTTGAGTTTGACCCTTTATCATTATGTAATGCTCTTTTTTGTCTTTTTTGATCTTTGTTGCTTTAAAGTCGATTTTGTCTGAAATGAGGACAGCAATTCCTGCTTTTTTCTGTTTTTCATTTCCTAGGTAGATTTTTCTCTGTCACCTTAGTTTGAGCCTATGGGTGTCATCTCATGTGAGATGGGTCTCTTGAAGTCAATATACAATTGGTTCTTGGTTCTTTATCCAGCTTTCCACTCTGTGCCTGTTAATTAGGGCATTTGGCCCATTTACATTCAAGGTTAATATTGATATATGTGGATTTGATCCTGCCATCATGATGTTAGCTGGTTATTATGCAAACTTGTTTGTGTGGTTGCTTTATAGTGTTACTGGTCTGTGTACTTAAGTATGTTTTTGTATTGGCTGGTAATGGTGTTTCCTTATATTTAGTGCTCCTTTCAGGAGGTCTTGAAAGGCAGGTCTGGTGATAATAACTTTCCTTAGGATTTGCTTGTGTGAAAATGATCTTATTTTTGCTTCACTTATGAAGTTTAGTTTGGCCTGATGTGAAATTCTTGGTTGGAATTTCTTTTCTTTAAAAATGCTGTATATAAGCCCCCAATCTCTTCTGGCTTGTAGGGTTTCTTCTGAAAGGTGTGCTGTTAGTCTGATGTGCTTCCTTTTGTAGGTAATGTGATCTGTCTCTCTGGCTGCCTTTAACATCTTTTTCTTTCATTTCAATACAGAGAACCCCTGCAAAATTGTATACGATGAGATCATCCCCAAATGGGGATGACAGCACTGAAATACATGCTACACTTCTATACAAGAAGATCATCCCTAAGTGGGGATGGTGGAGCTGAAAAGCACAAGTGAGGATGATCTCCTTGTATAGAATCTTGCAAGGGTTCTCTGTATTTCCTGAATTTGACCGTTGGCTTCTTTAACAAGTTTGGGGAAGTTTTAATGAACAATATCTCGAAATATGCTTTCCAAGTTGTTTGCTTTCTTTCTGTTCCTTTCAGGGATGCCAGTGATTCATAGATTTGGCTTCTTTACATAATCTCATATTTATTGGAGGTTTTATTTATTGTTTTTCATGTTTTTGTCTTTATTTTTGTCTGGTTGTCTTATTTCAGAGAGCCAGTCTTCATGTTCTAAGATTCTTTCCTCAGCCTCGTATATTCTGCTGTTAAAATTTGTGATAGCATTGTGAAATTCCTGTAGTGTGTTTTTCAGGTCTATTAGGTCAGTTAGATTCTTTTTTATACTGCTTATTTTGCCTGTCAGCTCCTGTATTCTTTTATTGTGCTTCTTGGTGATGAGTGGGGGTTGGAGATTTCCAGGGAAGAGGGGCTAGACTCATCTTTGTATGGCGGTTGCTGTGTGCTGGAGGTGGCAGCATAGTGACTGGGTCCTTTGTTACTTCCCCAGTCTGAGGGTTGTTAGGTGGTACCCCTACAAGTGCAGTGGCATCAGGGTTGTGGGTTAACTCTGGGATTTTCTCCTCGGAGAAATACTGGGATGCCTCTGATTGAAGTAGTCAGGTGGGGGCAGGGTGGTTGTGCTGGAGTCCCAGGTTGGGCAGCTCTGGCCAGTGAGGAAAATCGAGGACTGGGGCCTGCATGGAGAAAAGCCCAGCGACTTTTCCTTGAGGTTGGTGCTTGGTGCTGGGAGTCCAGACCAGCCCCTGGTCCCTGCAGACTCTCCAGAGCCTGGAGACAGCAAGGGCAAGGGCTGCGGGACAGCAAATATGGCAACCCACGCCTTCCACTGGGACCTCTGACCCAGGGACTTGCAGAGCTGCTACTGGATCAGCCCTGGTGGGAGACTGCTGGAGATCCAGGTGAGGAGGACCCTCCCAGTGAGAAGATACAGGATTGGAGACCCTTGTAACAAACAGTCTGGCCACTTTTGCATAGGGCTGCTGCAGTATGCTGGAGGTCCGCTCCAGACCCTAATTACCTTGGCATTTCCATTATCTGTTGCCAGCCCAAATATACCAGCAAGAAGTCCTGGTTGGGAGGTCCCTCCCAGTGAGGAGGAATGGGATTAGGGGCCTATATAAGAAAGCATTCTGTCTGCTTTTCTGTAGAGCAGTTGTGCTGTGCTATGCTGGGGTTCCACTCCAGCCCCCGGTTGCCTCAGACTCTCCTAAGCCTGAAGGCAGCAATGACAAAGGCTGTGAAATAGTGAAGATGGTGGCCCACCCTTCCCTCTGGGAGTTCCATCCCAGGGAGGCCTAGAGCTGCTGCTAGCCGGGAAATACCAGTTGGGGGGAGGTTGAAGACCCCGGTGGGAAGATCTATCCCATTGAGCAGAAACAGGATCCGGGACCCACATAAAAAAGCAGTCTGGTCACTTTTTCATAGGGCAGCTGCACTGTGCTGGCTTCAGCCCCTAGCTGGCTCAGACTTTCTAAGGTCTAAAGCCAACAATGGCTAAGGCTGCAAAATAGCAAAGATGGTGGCCACCCGTCCCTCTGGGGGTTATGTCTCAGGGAGGTGTAATGCTACTACTGGTGGCTGGCTGTGGTTCCAAGCCAGTGGGATTTATCCTGCAAGGTACCATAGGAGCACGGCCTGCAGCTAGTCACTGCTCAGTCCCCGGGATTAAGCCCTTTTCCTGGGTTACCTATGGGGGGTCTAATCTGCTTCTTTGCTAGAGTTGCAGCTGCTTTGCTGGTGAGCCTGGGTATCTAAGACACCTGGGGCTCTATGGGTGCCTGAGCAGCTGTTCTGCCAAGACTCCATGTAGCTCTCTGCATGTGAGACTGCAGGCCTTGGTGGAGTGGGTACACGAGGGGATCTCCTGACCTGAGGGTTCCAAATATCCGTGGGGGAAATGTGGGTTCCTCGGGGTCCCTTACCCTCTCAGCACTTCCCTGGGTAGGAGAAGCCCCCCAACTCCATGTCATTCCCAGATGGGGGGTCATCCTGCCTTTTCTTTGTTTCCTTGATGAATTCCAATGCGTGTACCTGGATGTTTCAGTTGAAGGTGCTGCATTTACTTAGCCCTTCTATTTCTCTCCGTGAGTGCAGCACACATTAGTTGCTTCTAGTCGACTATCTTGGCCAGCCTCCAGCATACATTTCTTAAGCAGAAAACAAAAGGCACTAATCATAAAGGAAAAAAATTAATAAATTAGGCCATCAATGTTAAGATGTCTCTTCTTCAAGAACTCTAAATGCTGACATTTAAGGATCTGCTTGCCTTACTGCCCAATCAGTTGATATTGAAGCTTATGTGTCTACAAGCCTTAAGACCCTTAACAGATGAACACAGAACAAATGAACACGAATAGATGAACATGGAACAAATAAGAGATGTCACCAAGCATTTGTTGAAGGCTAAAATGACTGCGTAGTAGTCCAATGAGAAGTGAACCTATGCACATCTTTCTCTGACATGAGCTAAGTCAGTTGGCCACACCTCTATCCACTTTCCGTCTTCTCTTATTTTTCTAAGGATAGCAATTCTAATTTTTGTGAGTTCTTATTTTCTGTTCATAGCCTTGTGTTTGTTTTCTCATATGTCCTTTTCTTTGTTTGTTTGTGTCTCTGTCACAATAAAGTCTTAAAAAAATCCCTTACTATTATTTTAAGGGGGCTTCAGGAGAGAGAGTGGATAAATGTCTGTGTGTATTCTTCCAAGCTTGGCCTACAGTCTTCAGGTCATTTGGGCGTAGACTAAACCTTGAGAACACTAGGCTATATCCACCAATGTGATATTAACCAACAAGAGAGAATATGAGACTGATTCTTTTTTATGTCGTATTTAAATTTCTAGGATCTATGTCTTGTGCGCTGATAGTTATTTTTATAGTATATTTTAAAAAAACTGTTAAAAAAATTTATTCTTACAGTTTGGGAATAATATTTTGTTCCATATAGATTGATTTGTTCAATTAAAATTTATTTCTTGATTATGTTACACGTATAATTATATATGGAGAAAATGTGAAAAGGGATGCCAGGATTTGAGTAAAAGATAAAGATTTATAATAAAAGCATATCTTTTACATAATTTTGGGGACCACTTTGAATCTTATTATGTGTTACATTTCTTCAATCATTCTAAATTTCATAAAGAATGTCAGTTTTTCTATGTCTATTTTAGATAAGTAATATGCATTACATTTTTTTTTTAATTATAGAAGTAATACATGCTGATTGATAAAAAATCTTGCAATCTGTCAGTAAGACACACTGGTTTAATCTTTCACCTTTCACACATCATACTCTCCTCCAAAGGCACTATTTTAACTTTTTTAGTATGTGTTTTTTTTTTTTTCTAAAAGTTATATGCATTTTTGAGCAAAGATCTATGGTATGATTTATAAACAAGTTTCAAAAATCCATCTATTACATTTTCAGGCCTTAGAATAATTTTCTTTACTTTCTTTGTTTTCTTTCTTTTTTTTTTTTTTTTTTTTTTTTTTTTTTTTTGACAGCGTCTTGCTCTGTCACCCAGGCTGGAGTGCAGTGGTGCAGTCAGGCTCACCGCAACCTCAACGTCCCAGGCTCAAGTGATCCTCCAACTTCAGCCCCCCGAGTAGCTGGAACTACAGGCACATGCCACCATGCCAGGCTAATTTTTTATTTTTATATTTTGTAGACATGAGGTCTCACTACATTGCCCAGGCTGGCCTCCAACTCTTGATCTCAAGCAATCCTCCCTCATTGGCTTCCCAAAGTGATGGATTACAGGCATGAGCCACTGTGCCCAGCCTCAGCATAATTTTCAATTGCTCAAAATCATGGTAATGTTACTTGATTTTATTTATGTCTCATTTACTTTTCTGTAAGTAGATCTATCTTTCCAAAAATGTAGTCAATTCCCCAACTTTTATGTTGTTCTTCAAAAGCATCAGCATTTCCAAGACAATAAATACTGCATATTGTACCAAATAACCTTTCAATTTAAGCATGTGGAACATAAAAATGGTGGGCTGCATGTTTTTACTTGAATCATAAGAAAGAACACACATGAGGTACTGAAACTGTTTTCTCAGGAGGAACAACATTATACTTGCAGAGCATTCACAATCCACCTGGATTAATGGTAACTAATGCTCCTCTATTCCAAATCCTGTCAAATTTGTCAATATTTGTTCTGGGAAGATAAAAAATGCTGCAACAGTACAACGAAATGTTCCCTGAAGAACTCTTATATATTTGGTTTCAGGAATTTTAGTGATTGGTTCTTCTGAGTAAGAAAGATTTGCTGTGTAAAAAATTCTTGTATCTCAAGTTCACTGATTTTCACACCAACTGCACTGTGTCCCTGGTCTGCAAACCATTTCATCTCAACTATTAATACTTTTCCATATAGAGGAAAAAACATCCTCAGTCCACTCTCACCTTTATGAAAAGTATCCAAATGCTTTAATAAGCTTGTCTTGCCATGCTTCCAGACTTAGTACTTGGTGTTTCTGTACCTCAGTATCGGAATACTCTTCAATATCAAGTGAAGTTCTTGTATTATTCATAGTTTCAGTGGCATCTATCTCTCAAGCATATGTTTTCAATGCATTTGTTGGTTTACTATAAAAGATATCACAAAGAATACAGTTAAAGAGATGTGTACGGCTAGGTGGGCATGCCACATTCCAGGAAGCTGCACGTGTTCAGCATCAGCAAGTTCATAGAGTATCTTGTTCTTGATTCACAGATGCAGCATCTCTCATCTGTCTGAGGATATTATTTACCTATTTTGAACGTTTTATTGTTAGCTTTGGCTCTACGTTTTTCCTCTCCAAGTCTTCTGTTTATTTTGCCTTTTTTTTTTTAATATATCAGAGGCCTTCTTCAAATATATGATGATATTTGGCTTCCCATTCATATTAAAATGAGGCACTACAAAGTGCATTAGTAGCTCTAAAGATGTTTTCAAACATGTTAGGACTCAAAAAGTGCCATCTATGCAGCACTGGGAAAGTGACTGGAGGACGTGGTCTACCAAAACAAGGGAGCAAATAGAGAAAAAGGAAGATTAAAGGAATAGGGAATCCAACACAGGATGATGGCAAAGGGAATATACAGGACAGCAGGTATGCAATAGGCCTGAAGAGAAACTAGCCCAAAGCAGAGCAAAGAGATAAAAGACTCCAAGAGGGAATACTTCTGGGAAAACAGGAATTGAGGAATTACCTGATATGTTTGCTCGTGTGGAAAATAGTATGGAAACAATGACGGAATGTTTGGGTACAATTAGTAGTAGGTTCATTAAAATCTCAGAATATAAGGAAAAGAGTCAATTATTAATGCCTGGAAAAAGAAGAAATTATAAGAGAAAAGAAAAGCAATAACAGTATACTAGTCAGTTCAACTACAAACAAAATGTATATGGTCATACCAATGTAAACGCTGAGTTCAATTTTCCCTAAATTATGATAGAACTATGTTGAGAGCATGGGGAGGGGAAGTTTAGGAGTGGAAGTGTAAGAGGTCTAAATCCTTATCTACTATCATAGGAAGTCAAAAGGTAGAATTTAAGAGTAACTAATCACGAAATAGCAATATAAGCATATTGTTTAGAAAAGTGGAGGTAAATGCCAGTAGAGATAACTAAAACATTTGAAAGTTGTCTCCTTTGAGGAGCAAGTTTGGGAGTTTGGGAATAAATTGACCAAGAGAACTATTATTTACTGGTTGTCTTTTTAGCATTCTTTTTTTTTTTTTTTTGAGAAGGAGTCTCTCACTCTCTCACTCAGGCTGGAGTGCAGTGACTAGATCTCAACTCAATGCAACCTCTGCCTCCTGGGTTCAAGTGATTGTCCTGCTTCAGCCTCCCGAGTAACTGAAATTACAGGTGCCCGCCACCATGCCCAGCTAATTTTTTTGCATTTTTAGTAGAGACGAGGTTTCATCATGTTGGTCAGGCTGGTCAAACCCCTGACCTCAGGTGATCCGCCCACCTTGGCCTCCCAAAGTGCTAGGATTACAGGTGTGATCCACTGTGCCTAGACCATTATTTGACTTTCTAAACTATATTCACTTTCTACTTAAAAAAATAAATTTACTTGAAATTAAAATGCAGATTCATGGGCCCATCCCTGGAGATTTGTACTTACTTAGTAGGGGAAGAATCTGCATTTTAAATTAACTTCCCAAATTTGAGAAACAAATCAATGTAGTCCTTTTCTGTGCTTATTCTAAATATAATTTTTTCAAAGACACTTTTGGGGGTTTTAAATTTTTCTTCTAATTTTACTGTTCTCATTTCTTCCTTGGCTTCAAGCTTCTTGATAATGTATAAATAGGTATATATGTGCAATTTAAAAACATTTGTCCTTGAGTGTGTCTATTTTTCCTTCTTTTATGTGCCTCCTTTTATAACATAAGCTCATTTGAGAAGTCCCTATAAGGTCACATCATCTTTAGATTCATTCTCCTTCTATTTTACTTGGGGATTATTTTTAGTTGTATAGTGAAAATTTTATTTTTGAGAACTTCCCACTTCTTAATACAAGCTTCTCTACTAGGGTCTCAGTCCACAGGTTCATAACAACATTTTCTCTGAACTTAATTGCCTCAGATTACTTAGACATCAAGAGTTGCTTGATTTTAAATTTCTTGTCTTTGTCCTAAATTTAGGAAATGCCTCTCAGTCTAATTCTTGCCTTATGATGCCACAGGACACAATAATGTAGTGTTTTACTGATTCTCTGGGGTGTTACAACTTTAAAGTTCTGACAAAGGAAAGTGCCCTCCAACAGGTTACTGTAGCCTAACCCATGACCTACATGCTGATTTCAAAAAAGAAATGCTAAATCAATCTAAAACATTCATTTTAAATTGGAAGTAAAATATCTAGCTCAGAATTAAAGGAATTTACCTGAATATTTGGAAAAATATAAATCTTTTACTTAATGAATATTCTTTAAATTTCTACTATAAAATTCTCACTGATCATTGTTGGACACACAAAAAGAAACATTTCATGTCTATCTAGCTAAAGGAAAATATTACTTCTGATGATTCCTGTTGCTCTATTAATATTTTATTTGGTTAGTATATTTTATTATTTTTTGTAAATTCAAGATTCCTGTAATACAGATAAAGCAATGGGCACACATGAAATCAAGCTGAGAAAATGTACTTCTGATGTTTGAGGTATTTTTGTTTTAGTTTAATCAATTTGATCATTTTTTAATGCTAAATCATCTTAAACATAAACTTTTTTTTTTTTGACAGTGTTTCACTCTATCACCCAGGATAGAGTGAAGTGGTGCAATCGTGACTCACTGCAACCTCCACCCAACGGGTTCAAGTGATTCTCCTGCCTCAGCCTCCCTAGTAGCTGGGACTATAGGTGCCCGTCACAACGCCCAGCTAACTTTTGTATTTTTAGTAGTATTTTTATTTTTAGTAGAGATGAGGTTTCTCCATGTTGGCTATGCTGGCCTTGAACTCCTGACCTCAGGTGATCCACCTGCCTCAGCCTCCTGTAATCCTAACGGCCACATTTTTTGTTTTCCTAATATTGAAACAACTACATAATTTCTATCACATTATTCGTATACATTAAACCAATATTATATAATATGTATCTAAAGCATCAGCTGAATTGAATCTTTACCTTCCTATTATTATGACACAGTAACATTACTGTGACATTTCTTGAATTCAAGTCTGATATTAAATTATGAAAGATCTAAACTTCAGAATTTTACTTTTGTTTCCTTTTCAAGCACAGATAGAGAAACTGTTATATCAAACACATTTTAATATGACCTCTATAACTTTTTAGAAGACATAGATTAATGAGATTTGGTTCCAGTGACTGTGGGAAATAAAAAGTGTTGCTAACCTGGAGACCCAGAGCTTACCCATTCATATTCGAGGGTTTTCCTTACCATCAACACCAAAAGAACTAGCTTAAGCCTCCCAGCAGTTCTTCAACTGGACAAACTGACTACATTGCCCATTTGGAGTGTTCAGTATCCACGGTGTATATTTTCATCCTGCTTCTGAGGAAAAAGTGAACCAATTCAAAACATTGTACATAATTCTTTGTACCTTAAAAGTCAGAAGAGATGATTTTTAAATAAATGCTATTTGACCCTAAATGGTAGTTCTTCATAAAATTTGGACATTTACATGGAAGTTCCCATTGGCAGCCAGTAGGGCTGCATTTGATTCTTAAGACAATTCAACTAAAATTATGCAGTATTCCTGTGTTTCCTACTTTAAACAATAGGTCACTTTCCAGACTAAAGTTACTATGTGTGTCACCCTGAAAGATGATAGTAGGGCACTGTTTAAAGAAAACCAACTTTCTAACTTCTACACAGCTAACTGTACAGATATATTTAGCATAATTTATTTAATACCATATATCTGAAAGAATTCCAAAATATGTTGACCAAATGTTAACATTTTTTCTTTTAAAGCAATATTTATGTAGTCATGAATGTAGGGAAATAATTTGTGACAACATCTCAGGAATGTGTACACACAGAAACTTCTCAAGCCAAGAGCTACAGATATAAGCATATTCTATAAAACAGCAAATTGTTATTGAAAACAATTGGTAAGCTAATAAAAAAGAAATTTTATTTTAGCATAGAATTTCAGTAAGTTCAAGGTGCAGAGGAATACATAATCTGTATAGTTTACATTTTCATCCCAAAGTAAAACATTAACATGCTGGAAAACTGGAAGAAGTCTGATTTATTTGAAAACACAAAAATAATTATGTTCATTTATAGTCAAAAAATGGTGTGGCAGCTATATTGTGGACTAAAAGGTTCTTTCAGAATTTTATATTTATTTTATTATGTCTACTTTTTTTACTTTTCTAAATTTTGAGCAATATAGATTTCAAAAATAAAAGGATTGAATACTCTTACTTGTCACTAGATGGCGGTAACTCCAGGATGGGTCTCAGGAGGAAAAGCAGTAAAATGGAAATTTTTACTTGTTTGCACCAAAGATAAAGATATGTAGTAACCTTGACTGAAATTTTGGTAGAGTTGGTAGAATGAGTATATTTGTGAGGAGTAGAGGACAGAGAGCTGTGCGTGTCTGACTTTTTCGTGTTGAGGACATGGTCCATTGCTTTCAAGAGAATTGAAATAAAATTAAAACCAAATGAGGAATGAGAAAAAGGTAAACATGTTATACGATAAAACACAGAACATTTTCATTTTCACATATAGCCCTTATATACAGACATTTACTATTTATAGTTCAAGCAGAATGATGTATGAGTCCTTGTTAATGGTGACTATAGCAGCTTTTGTTGATACAGAGCCATGACACATAATTTTAACGTGAGAGCAGGTCACATCTTCCAAATGATGTTTTCTTTCTTTTCAGACATTTTTGACTCAAAATGCAACATTTGACTCTGTTTTAAGTTGAGAGATTGGATAAATTATTTGAAAATATACATCTTATGGAGTTTGAAATGAATTTTTGAGACACTGAGTAATGATGACTGGTATCAATGGAAATTTATACTTTGTATGAAAAGCCTTCTCAAGACAATAGAGACCAGTGTGGTTGGCCAGAGTAAAGGCCTCATATTGAGAGACTTTAGTGAATAGCTTGGTGAGCCACAGTTCATTCTTAGAACAAAACTTTTCAGAAGTTAGCATCCGAACAGGATACAAACATCAGTTTACATGAAAGGTATTTGGTTCTTTCATCAACCATCAGTTATCAGTGAAAAATTACCTGTTGAAGCACTCAGATTTCTCTAGCTGTAAAATTACATTGAGACCTGACATCCTGACAGGTAGAAACAGTTGCATTGCTTCTATGTTCAAAGAAAAAAGAAGTGATCAGGTTTCTTATTGGAGAAAATCAAAGGCTGATTAACCCTCACAGAGCAAGGTGAAACTTGTTGAAGGTCCTGAAAAAAGAAATACAATTTTGGACAGAGCAGAGCTTTGTATTCTTTTAAGCAACTGTTTTAGACAACTGCTGCTGTGTTTAAACCTGTCAGACTTTGCTATGAACTTGGAGAGAAGGGATGGAGATTCAAGTAGTGTTTTTTTTTTTTTTATTTGTTATTGTGAAGTTAGAAGTTAATGTTCTAGATGAACTGAAGGGCTCACTCCTACTTCTCATCACTCTCTCACACTCCTACTCTCCAGCCATATTTACTATTATTTCCATGTCTCAGCGTCAAAGGCCATCTTTGCCCCAACTTTCTACTCCTTTCACCTGGATAACTTCAACTGATCCTTGATGGCTCAAGTGTCACCTATCTTGAGAAGCCTTCCCTGATTCTCCCTGTTAGGGTTGTCAGATTTAGCAAATTAGGATACAGGAAGCCCAGTTAAATTTGAATTTCAGGTCAGCAACGAACAATCTTTTGTATAAGTATATTCTAAATATTACATCTTGTATTTTTATTTGCTAAATGTGGCACCTTACCTCAGTTAAGAACTTTTTTGTCACTTCCAAAATACAGTGTCTCATTGACCATATCAAATAATTCCATGTGAGAATGTCTTCATCATTGTTTGCTTTGTATACTTACAAAATAAGTGAATATGACTTTCGTGAAAGGACTGATTACAAAATATAGTTAAATTAATACAAATTGGCTTTCAACATAAAATTCTCCAGTGTTTGACTTTTTTTGACCCAATTACACTATATTTACATGTTTACTCTCTGAAAAAATGTGGTTGAGGAATAGCCTATCATTGCTAATTGATAAGTATTCATTGTTATAAAGCAATGTAACAAAAGAGATTCATAATTTATTTCCACAGAAAGGAAGAGTTTATGTCTACATATTGTTACTCATAATTGACAGTGGATTAAAATGTAGTAATTGGAGGAAATATAAATGACTTTATTAGATCTTTTTGAAGATACTGCCATAATCACCAATCACTGAAAACATTTCCAGTAACTCCCTATTTTACTTAATAAGGGATAGCCTATTTTTAAAACATTAAAAACAGATGTTACTGCATTATTTGACTGCTGATGTATGTAGTAGAAATGACACACTAATTAATTTAGTGCAGTATAAATATTCAGATTTTTTATCATGGCTGACAATAAAGTTATAAAAAAAGAAAACATTCAATTACAATCAGTAGCAGTTAATTATTTATTGATTTTACATTATGCACACATTAATACAATACTCAATTATGCAGAAGATGGGATCATTTTCATGTTGATATGCAGACATTTGAATTCATCCGTTTTATTTAAAAACAAAAAAATTAAGTTTGAGTAAAAAGTGTTGATCCACACTGAAATACAATCCTCTTGGGATATTAATATCACACTGATTTGAAGTCCTCTTTAAAAGACTGCCTAAGAAATATGAGCTTTTGAGCAAAATTGCATTAATTTAAATATGCTGTTTAATTATATATTTCTGAGGTGGCCAGTCGTTTTTTACTTCCTAGAACTGCACAGCTTTCAGCACTTAATCACATACTCTGTACAATGCTGATGAATGTCTCATATGTAGTAGGAACGCAACAAATATTTGCTGTCTAATTGTTGATCCTGAAAAACAAGACATTTTTATCAGGGAAATGTATTCTCTGGGTTTCTGGGGAAGGTAAGGTCACCTCTGCTTACAGCAGTCAGTGAAACTTGAAGGCATACTAAGTAACTAACTATTTTGGAAGATAGTTTTTTTTTTTTTTTTTTTTTTTTTTGAAACAGAGTCTACCTCTGTTGCCCAGACTGGAGTGCAAGTGGCGCTATCTCGGCTCACTGCAACCTCCGCCTCCCAGGTTCAAGTGATTCTCCTGCTTCAGCCTCCCGAGTAGCTGGGATTACAGGCGCGCCCCACCACGCTAATTTTTTATGTTTTTAGTAGAGACGGGGTTTCACCATGTTAGCCAGGATGGTCTCTGTCTCCTGACCTCGCGATCCGCCCGCCTCGGCCTCCCAAAGTGCTGGGATTACAGGCATGAGCCACCAAGCCCGGCCAAAGATAGCTTTTGATAAGCTGAGAGATAGAGAATTTTAGGCAGAGGGGATTCTAGGTAGAGAAACAGCACACACAAAGGCTTGGAAATGCAGGATTAGAGGACATAGACTGTAATAGTTTGAGTCGAGTGGAGGTGATTTGTAGAACAGTAGTGAGAAGAAAATATGATGATTCATTGGGTCAGGCCTGGGAGCAGGCTGGAGTAAGGATGTTGGTCTAGAAGCAGGATGTCAGTCTAGAAGCAGGATGTCTCAGAAAGAAAACACATTCCTTAAGGTAGCATCACTACTTTAGATAATCATTCTTTCTGCCTTCCCATAGGCCCCACGTAGTGCCCTGGCTTGGTATCTGGCTCAACTCAGTATTGTATAGATGAATCAATTTTTAAACACAAATCATTCTATTCAGTGTAGGTCAGTGGAGGTGACAAGGGACGTATTTCTTAAAATGTAAGACACTATTTCTCCTACCTTGAAGGCTTCCACTAAACTGGATTTGATTTCAATAATATTAGGAAAGCCAAAGCTACAGTCAAATTGCTTTCAATAACATCATCCAAACTCCATACCATAACCCATGGTTTTCTTTTCGGTTCTGAGAGGAAGTTATCTTCATAATCACTTTTAGAAAGAGAAAATGAATGGTCTAAGTGTAGGCAAAGAAGAAATTAGCATTCTAGTTGGCAAAAGGAGGGGGCTCACTTTCTTATCTTTTTCTCTACTTGTTTTTGGGAGTATAAAATTCACCTAATTGTAAAGGTGCAAAGATCAGCTTTCCATTATTTAAACCACCTTCTTTCTGGAGTCCTATTTCCTGTTAATTGTCCTACTTCGCTTACAATCTATTATAAATTACTATACCCAGAAACATGTGCTGTATATAATTTACAGAAAATTCTAGTGAAGAATATACTACAGTTTATGTAATTTATATATACCAGGCTCTCCTTGGCTTTCTAATCCACTCTCAATATTATCTGTTCTACTTCTTCAGCACCTGGGCAAGTTAAGACATTAAACAATATTCCATGTGCTACATTTAACTTTGAAATTTATTGAATATTGAATTCTTTTATGGACCAGGCATATGTATTGCTTTTTTGCGTCTTCAAATAGATTTATACACTTGATGGAGATGACTGGAATCTTGGAACTGGGTAGAGGAGAAGCAGAATTTTAGGCAAAAGCTCTCTCTGACAAATAATTCTCCTATCTCTATTGCCTATTTCGCTAGGGGTCTCCAGGGGGCTGTTGGGTTAAATTTGTTTGTGAGAACAAATAGTGGATAGGAACCGGGGAAAACTAATGTGTGGGTGGAATTTCAGAGACAAAATTGATCATTCTGTTATGTCTATAAAATCAGCACTATGCTGGAATACAGACAGTGTGGAGTAGTACAGCACAAACTAAGGCTACCTGTTTATTTTCATGCATAGGATGAATTAAAACCAAGTAGTTGAAGGGTAGATGAACAAGATGAGACCTAGTCAACAAGCAAGTGCTCAGGTGATGGATCTACGTAGGCCTCCTTTTTGATATAATGTGTTCCTGGAGAAGATATTTTAAAAAATTCTTTACCATAAATTAAAAGCCAAGCAACATGTTTATTTTATCCTGAATATGTATGCAGTGATACTATCATGTCTTCTGATATCACTGGAAATCGTCGATATGTGATAAAGAAGTAGGTAAGGAGTGAAGTTAAGTCCTTCTTCAATCATGAAGGTAAAGTTCCTCAAAATTTCTAATAGGAGAAGTCATTTGCGAGAAACTTACAGTTTTAGGGATCCAGATTTGGAAGGAATGAGCCCATGAGTGTACCTACGAAGCCGTTATCTTTTTTTTTCAATGCACTAAACTGAGACAATGACTCTGGCACATTAACAGACTTACCATGGCTTTTCCCCAACATTTTAAATGACCAACACGGAGAACTGTACAATCAGTGTTTATTTGTCATACTTTGTCATGAGAAACTGCTCAGGATTTCCTTCTTTCTCCCCTCTCCTTTTCAAGGACAGGCTTATCACCTTGTTTCACTTTAATGCTGGTGGTATGCACATTAGTAGGTGGTAGCAGTGCTCCTCTGTGTCTAGTCCACCATTCAAATACTCAAGATCTTTCATGTGTTATGACACAGAGTTGTTCTCTCAAGCCAAAGATCCCAGAGAGGCATAGATCCCTGGAAGTTAAAGATGAAACAATGTTTGCACTAATTTTTTTAAAGTGATCCTATTTAGCTGTTATGAAACATATTTGTCAGATATTCTTGCCAGCATCTTGGTTCTCTCTCTACTCCCAGACATCTGAATATGATTCTAAGGCCTGGGCTACTTTCCCTCTACTTCTTGTATCTCCCCAAGCCTGCATTGCAGAAATGTATACGCTGGCTTTTCCCTCCTACCCTCTTCCCTTTTCTACTACTACTTGTCAGCATCCTCCTTCCTTTTATAATTATTTCCAGTTGACAGAGTTACAATTTGTATATACTGAAACTAAAATTTGAAAAACCCATTAAAAGCTAAGTGATACTAGTTAACAGGAATAGCCCTTATCCTGCAACAGGTACTATTTTAAGCAATTTACATATGTTCGGCTGTATACATTTACTCTTGCAATCTCACAGAACCCTATGAGGAAGATACTATTATTATTTATTCCAATTTTATAGATCAGAAAACTGAGGCATGAAGAGGTTAAATATTTTGCCCAAGATCACCCAGGTGATAAACTGGGGAGACAGACTTTGGACACAGGCAGTCTGGCCAGTTTCCACTTCCTTAACCACTCTGCTAGACTGCTTTCTCAGAGAGGAATAACTAAACGTTGGCCCAAAGGGATCTTGTGGTTGTGAAGAGTTTACTGTAGTGTGTGAGTCCTAATTGGGCAGCAATCAATGAATAAAGCATTGAACTGTAAAGAAACAAAAAGTACAAGTACTGCTCATACTGCAATGGTATGTCTTCAGTTTATTTTCATTTTCGTCAAGCACTCCTCTTCATTAGTTGAATGTAAGGCAAGTTTTGGACATGTCACAAGTTTCTCAATAGTTTGGAATGTACAGATATGTTTTCGTGTCATTTTCTCTCAACTCAGAACTTCGATATTATAAATGTAAACATTGAAAGTTGTTTTATTAACATTTCCAAAAACCTTAAACCTGCAATTTATGATTTGTGCCACCATATGGAGACTGAGTCAATCATATGGCTCTAAAGCCAAGATAATTGTTTTGTCTAAGATTCAGACAAACAGAGTTTTTTTTTCCTAATGATACAAACCTTCCCCAATTTATTAATTTTCCTGTCTTCTTTATTAAAGATACAACTTTACATTTAAAACATCAAATTTTAAAAAAATACTTTAGGCTGGGAGCGATGGCTCATGCCTGTAATCCCAGCACTTTGGGAGGCCGAGGTGGGTGGATCACGAGGCCAGGAGATCGAGACCATCCTGATTAACATGGTGAAACCCTGTCTCTACTAAAAATACAAAACATTAGCCGGGTGTGGTGGCAGGTGCCTGTAATCCTACCTACTCAGGAGTCTGAGGCAGGAGAATGGGGTGAACCTGGGAGGCAGAGCTTGCAGTGAGCAGAGATTGTGCCACTGCACTCCAGCCTGGGCGACAGAGCGAGACTCTGTCTCAAAAAAAAAAACCACCAAACTTTAGAAATTTAGTGTAGAGCAGTTTTTTTTTTTTTTTTTAAAGAAAGTATATGTATAGTGTAGTAGTTAAGATTTGGCTTCTAAATTCATATTTGAATGTATTTCCAGCTCATCTATTTTATATCTGTATGACCTTGGACATATTAATTATTTTAAGCCTTAATTTCTTCATCTCAGAAATGGGGATAATAATGGAATCTACTTCACAGAACTATCATGAAAATTAAATAAGAAGGTGTTTAGAAAGTCTTCAGCATAATGCCTGCACCAAGTAAGCATTCAACAGATGTCAGTTATATAAATACTATTACAGTAACTTTATTATAAATATTGAACATTTTACACAACTCAACCCTCAGGTGGCCTATACACATATTACTGGAAGTTTATTGTCAACTTTTTGTTGGCTTGGTGATGAAGTGTTGCTTATCTATATGAATTCAGCCAAATGGTTCAGTCGTTCTATCTGGATTATTTCAGCAAAACTCAGAGAAGGCCTTACCTATATTTTCAACTACACAATTATTATCTTTCTTGCTTTCTTTACCCAACTTTTGTAGGGGAAAAACAATAACAATAACAAAAAGCAAAAATTGCCTAGTGTTCTGATCGCACTGACAGTGTATTTTCCCTATCAGAGAAAAGTACCTATTTTTCTCCTATCCATAATCAGAAGGGTTATAATTCCTCCCTGTTTCCTCGAGTCAGAGCTGGTTATTCTGCAAACAATAGTAAATTTACACATTAGCTGTGTGCAGTTTTATCAGCTCCCAGCAATGATTTGAAATAATTATCTCAATGACATACTTCCTCTATTGAGATACCCTTACCTAAAACAAAACATGTAGAATAAAAAAAATTAATGAGATTTCAAACAGAGATGTAAATATGTTTCATTATAATTTTGTAATATATTCATTGCAGATTGGTAACAAGTAAATTCCTTAGGGTTCATGGGAAGCAAACATAATATAATATAAATATATCACACTTAAGTTTTGTAAGGAAATGAATGCTTAAATAAAAATTAAAATAATTATTAATCTGAGAAGCCAGTCATCACTAAAAAGATCCAGAAACTACCAAAAAACAAAAATCATCATTGTTTTAACAAAAAATAAATATTTTATGCACACCAACCTCTTAGGACCTGCCTCAGAATTAATGATAACAAACATTTATGTTGAACAACAGGTTATAGATCATAATCACATATTTATTCATTAGATAAACATGTATGGGCACATACTGTGAGTCAGTAACAGTGGTTGGCACTTGAAGTATCATATTGACTGAGATATGCATAATCTCTTACCTGACTAAACCTTATTCTAGGAGAGAGCCTACGACTAAGTTGCAAACAACTTGCACTACAAGGAAGCATGTTTTAACTACCTTAAGAGAGGCATGATGTGCAGTAAGAGACAGAAGAGTGAAAGCCCATTTCTTGCTGAAAAAAGGAAATGAGGGAGGTCTTCCTGGAGCTGAATTAGACTTCCTTTTTAAAGTGTGGTTAGGATTTGGGTGGGTGGAGATGAGGAGGTGTGCACCAACATATCCTATGGTAAAAGAATGACATGAGCATTAGCACTCAGATGGGAAGGTATAAGAAGTTTAAGAATAGTAGAAAGTAATACTCATTTATTGGTGCACAGGCAACATGTCAAAGAGTACTGGAGGAAAGGATAAAAAGGTAAATCACTGGCCAGGCGCAGTGGCTCACGCCTGTAATCCCAGCACTTTGGGAGGCCAAGGTGGGTGGATCACGAGGTCAGGAGTTCGAGACCAGCCTGGCCAACATAGTGAAACCCCGTCTCTACTAAAAATACAAAAATTAGCCGGGCATGGTGGTGCACGCCTGTAGTCCCAGCTACTTGGGAGGCTGGGGCAGGAGAATCGCTGGAACCTGGGAGGTGGAGGTTGTGGTGAGCCGAGATCATGCCACTTTACTCCAGCCTGAGCAACAGAGTGAGACTCTGTCAAAAAAAAAAACAAACAAACAAACAAAAACAAATCAAAGAAGAATTAAAGGTCAGTCTAAGGAGTTTGGAATTTATCTGGTAGCCAGTGGGGTAGTAATGAGTATTTCTAATAAATAGAGTGAAACATTAGAAAAAATAATCTATATAGACTGGTATATAGACTGGAAGAGGAAATGCCAGAAAGTGGGGAGATTAAGAGGCAATTATTGTAATGGTATCCAAAGAACACATAATGAACAAACCCAAGGTGGTGGCATTGGGAATGGAAAGGAATGGAAGGGAGTGATATTGCTGAGAGAGAAATCGCAAAACTTAGTGATTAATTGAATGGGAGTAAAATGGATAGAGAGAAATCAAAGAGGTCTCTCCAGTTCCCATTTCAGGTGACTTACTGCATGGAAAAAGCATTTAGAAATATCAGAAATGGAAAATAAAGACCAGATTTGAAGAGGATAAGATAAGGATTAATTCAAAACTGAATTCAAATTCAGTTCTGGGCATGTTGAGTTTGAGGTGATCATAGGACATCAAAGTGGAGACGTCCAATTCTACAGGAGAGTTTCAAGAGAGCTAGAAATAATATTTGAGGTAATCTGTAAAAGAGTTGTTGGTGGTGCTATAGACTGGAAAGTTCATGAAATTGCCACAAGTAAGAGTGTAGACACTAGGGTTTTTGACATTTCAGGGTCAAGATCAAGGGCATGAAAAAGAAAAGCTGTGTATGAAAGAGGAGAAACAGATTGTTAGAAAGTCATTAAAACAAAAGTTAGGGGTTCAAAAAGGATGTCAGCAGTGTGAAAAGCTTCAGAATATCAAAGGATGAAGATTTAGAAAACAACTTTGTATTCGGCATTTAGGAGGTCAGTAATCATCTCTGGTAGATTAGTTTCAGCCAAGTGGCAAGCAAGCAGAAATAAAATTGCTAAAGGTGAAGACACAAGAGAAACAATTGTAGATTTTCAAAAAGTTTGTGCAAAGATGGTAACTTCAGGGCAAGTGGATCTCAAATTTCCACCTACAATGGAATCACTTAGGGGCTTTGTTAAATGCAGGTTGCTGAGCCTCACCCCGAGGTTCTAATTCAGCAGGTCTTGGGTAGGGCCAAACTGTTTGCATGTCTATCAAGCATCCAGGTAATGCTGATGCCGGTGATCTAGGGACCACACTCTGAGAACTCTTTTTAGAGTAGAAAGTTTTGATTTGTCTTAAGGATTCATAGCCTTGAACATTTTATATAGTAAAAGGTGAAAAGAACAAGTAGAGAGGGAGAGACTGGAGATGCAAAATAGAGAGGTGGGAATAAAACAGATTTGTCACTTGAACGACGTGAAAGAAAGGAATGAAGAACATCAATGGAAGCGGTGGAGGAGGCTTTTTATTTTTTAAGAGAGAAGATGCAAAAATCCTTTTAGGAGGGGAGAAGGGAGGCGGAGGGAACGCCTGTCAAATAACTTTGTGGTAAAATCATAGAGAAGTTGGAGGCAGTAGCTAATGAGAGTGAGGGGAAGGGTGACTTGCAAAGAATAGGAAAGGTTTGGAGTAGCTGCTACAGGGAATTCAATAGGGAGTCAACGAAATGAATAAAAGGACATTAAGTAGCAGTGGGAGACCAGCTGAGGTTAAAATAGCTTGAATTTGAACAGTTAAAAGCCCAAGATTTAAAAGGGAACAGTACAGTGAGAGACATAGGTGGAATTTAAGACGACATGTTTCCTTCTCCTTTAGGAGAGTGCAGTATGAAATAGCATATCTTAAAAGTTGGTAAGCGCTTATACTTTATAAGGTAATTTGAAAGCTTATTTTTTATATTTCAGTTAGAAAATGTTCATCTTTCCTTTAAGTATCGGATTTTAACTGTTACTCTTTGGGTTTTGACCAATTCTCTTGATGCTCTACTGGTCCCCTTTCTCCACCTTTGCCTCCCTTGGAATTCATCTTCAATTTAACATTGTAACTGAATGAAAAAAATGATGTTATAGATAATCGTATAACCAGTTTCCTAATGGGGTATACATGCATACATAGCTATAGGCTTTCATCACTTAAATTCTCAGTTATATGAAGGCTTTCATTTTACATTTATTGTCTTGCCCAATTTCCTTTTATTGTTTACCTAAAAGTGAACCTTAGAGGTCTCCTGGGAGGTTGTGATTAGCCGCCACATTCAAGGTTGTAACTTCAGTTGGCTGAGGGTTTCAAATAATTCCATTTATTACCTTGGGATTTACTTGAATGCCTGATCTGAAAACCAGTCCCTTCAAATAGTTCTGGATATTTTGCAGTGCTGCATAAGCATGCCAATATATGTATTTTTAATTTTTAGTTAAAATGGTACCTGCATTTTACTGACAGTGTCAAAGTAGAATATTTTGCCTAAAATCACAGATGAGCACCCTCCCCTCCAAACTGAGTATGAATTAAGATAAAATGTAAATTGTTAATTAAGTCATGGAAGTTTACAGCATTTCAGTGTATGGGAAACTACACTTAGGCCCCAAATCATTCCACTGGAATTAGAACTTCTTCTGATGAGATATGGTACCTGCTTATACTAATTTTGTCGTTATTTGTTGCGGTGGTTGGCTCCTGTCTTGTATTAATTCACAAACCTTGAGTATTTTCTTAGTTTTAATGCAGTGCCTCTCTCCATAGAGAGTCATCTCCCAAGGGTACTCTGTTTACTGCCACCTTTTTATGATTTTATATTGCATCAAGCAATTCCAAACTTACAGGGTGTTGATGTGAAAGGCTTCCTCTGGTCTTGTAGAAACCTAGCCCTGTTTAGAAGTATGTTTGGCTTATGGAAGACATTAAAATCAGAAAGGGACAAAAACAAACCCTCTGTGTAAAATTGATTGTCTCAATCTCAAAGCACTGATAGTAATAGTAGAAATAGTAGTGATAAAAAATAGAATAATCAAAAAGTCAAGAAAAAAGGAGACAAAACCTGCTCTCTTAGATCTAAACGACTAAATGTTTAAATTGCATGTGTTACTTAAGAACGCTACCAAGTTTATCTAGAAGACTGCAATGAGAAGGAATTCAAATAATGAAACCGAGGGTCTTTTGCGTGTTGAAAACTTCCAAAGAACTTTAACCTTTCAATGATCAATGGCCAATTTGAGTCTCTAGTATTTCTGCTAGAAATAGAACCGTAATCTTTAGTAATAATTAAAATATTACTGTAAACCTGATACATCTCATTAAACACATGACTTTTAATTTGTGCCTTTTCTAAAGTTGTCAAAGTATGTCTGTTCTTCAATTTCACAATTACTGATTACAGCATGAATGAATAATCTGCCTTTCTTTTTTTATATTTCAGATTTCTTAAATTTGAAACATCAAAATATCTGTGCAATGTTTTATTGCTGAAAACCCCAAATTGCTCTGCAAATAAAAAGGCCTTGATAATGTGGGCACAGCTACATACAAGGGGTAGCTTGGCCTTAGGATTTTTAACGTAATTAGAGCCATTTGAAAATAAAACATCCTTTACAGCCAAACTTATTCACCTGGAAATTTCAATCACAATAAGTTATCAGAGGCAAGCTATTTCAACAGATAGTTTAACAGCCATTTCAGTCAAAACACCTGTTGAATACAATTTGGGATTTCTCTTTTTAAAAACTGGTAAATACAAACATTTCTGTCAGTGCTGTTTTATTCTTTTTTGATACTTCTACTTTTGGTTGAGGCGTTTTCTGCCTTTGCTATTTCTTCTCAATTGTCCTTTTTTTGCCCCTTATTACTTTCTTCCCACAACAGTATCGATGTAGCAAAAACATTTTGATGCCTTTTAAAAATGTCTCGTGGCTGCCTATATCCCAATCTATTATGTTAGAGTCATATCACTGCATTTTGAAAGCAATGATCATCACAACTTCTTAGCATTTTAACCCTGTACAATTTGAAATTGAAACAGTATGAAGAGATTCAAAGGGCAGTTCTTAAACCTGGTTGATGAAATGAGAAAAGAAGAAAATATGTTGTAGAAAGAGGCAGAAAAATCCAATTTAGGGTATCTGTAACTAAATAAGGGAGCAAAAAGAACCCACACATTTCTCGTTGATCCTGCTAAGTACAACTAGGGCTGAATAAAATTCAGTAAGTTTCCAACATTATTTATATTTTAGAAGAATATCAGAGAAGTTACCATAAGCCATGTAGTTGGTAACGTTTTGTAAAGAAACGAAACCTGGATTTCACTTTATGAATAACTAACAGCCTCCAGAGAAGAGGAGCACAGGAAAGGAAATATCTTGGTTTTAGAGAATGAATAGCTTGACAAGGAGTCTTAAAACAACTTTGCTAGGCCAGGAGCGGTGGCTCACGCCTGTAATCCCAGAACTTTGGGAGGCCGAGGAGGGCGGATCACGAGGTCAGGAGTTCGAGACCAGCCTGGCCAATATGGTGAAACCCTGTCTCTACAAAAAAAAAAAAAAGTATGTATATGTGTGTATATATATGTATATATATGTATATGTGTGTATATATATATGTATATGTATACATAAATTAGCCAGGCATGGTGGCGCGCACCTGTTGTCCCAGTTACTCGGCCGAGGCAGGAGAATCGCTTGATCCCCGGAGGCGGAGGCTGCAGTGAGCCGAGACTGTGCCACTGCACTCTAGTCTGGGCGACAGAGTGAGAATCTGTCTCAAAACAAACAAAAACAACTTTGCTAAGGCGATCTAACCACCATATGCTGTGTGGAAAAGACCATTCCTTTTCCCTGGAATGTACCCTGCTTAGACATTTTGTTCTATAAGCTCTTAGTACGTTTGGGACGCTTGATGAGTGGGGGAAGTGGAATCTTGTTTAGGACTGGAGCTCCAATCACTGGACCTTCAAAGCCAATGGAAGAGGAAGGAAAATGCACGTTCAAGAATGCAAACCCTCGCCCTTTCCTCATATTCCGTGATGACTGTTTTGAGTCCTAAACAAACATTTCCTATCAATTTTAGCGGGGAGTAGGGCCAGGGCAATCTCGACACTAAGGGACGGGGACACAGACAAGTCTCTTCCAGGACAGTGGCGGAAGTGCCATAAAATGAGGTGTCCATCTGCCACCCACAGAGCAAGTCTCTCTGTTTCCCAAAGTGTTCACAGGCTCACTACGCTTCCTGAATGTCAGTGCGAGTTAGCAACCAGAACTCTGATCTGAGTATGATCTCGGACGCTTGTTCCTCTGCGCGCTGGGTAGGGGAAAATTTACACCAAGCGCACTTAGGTGGGCTAAAGGGCTGAGCTGTTTACTTCTGAACTCGCTAGCGTCTTTCTCCCGGAAGCTAGGCGAAGCCATCTATTAGCCCCCGCAGAGTTTGGGAGAGATGCGCAAGTGGAATTGGAGCTGCCACCTCACTTTCCACGATCTAACCCGGTGTAAGGTGGCGGAAGGGGCATGGGGAGGCACGTTCAGGAGTCGCGCTTTGCGTTTCCACCCCGACACCAGCGGAGCGCGGAGCGGATGGGTTCACAGCATAGGCCACTTTGAGAACTCTGCGTGACATCTGGGAGTTCTCTCGTCTGGCAGAGAGGCAAGAAGCAGAGGCACCACACCGCCCCCTTCTCGGACTGGATCTCTGTTCTTGGTCGAGCCTGGACCCACTCAGGTAGTCGGACGCCGGCCAGGGAGTCTCCACCTCCTCACCAGCGGCAGCCATTCGGAGCGCTCGGGCGCAGAAGGGCTGGGGCCCATTGGCTGTGGGACGCTGCCAGTCTCCGGAGGGGGTGTGGTGGGGGTGGGGTCTGGGGCCGCAGCGGGTCGGGGCTGCTCACTGTTTGTTGAGCTTGAGCGTGAGCCGGCTGCTGAAGACTTGCGAACAGTTCGGAGCCAGCGAGAGCGCGCCAGAGAGAGCGAGAGTGAGGGAGTGAGTGCGAGGGGATCTAGAGGAGTCAGGGCGAGAAAGCGAGGGCCGGAGGACCCACGATAGAGACAGAGTGACCATGGCTGTCTCCGCATCTCCAGTGATCTCTGCAACTTCCAGCGGCGCCGGCGTCCCGGGGGGCTTATTCCGGGCCGAACCCCTGTACTCGACTCCCAGAGAGCCCCCTCGTCTTACTCCTAATATGATCAATAGTTTCGTGGTTAATAACCACAGCAACAGTGCCGGAGGCGGCGGCAGGGGCAACACCAACACCAACGAGTGCCGCATGGTCGACATGCACGGGATGAAGGTGGCTTCGTTCCTGATGGACGGCCAGGAACTGATCTGCCTGCCGCAAGTCTTTGATCTTTTTCTCAAGCACCTGGTGGGAGGCTTGCACACTGTGTACACCAAGCTGAAGAGACTGGATATATCCCCCGTGGTGTGTACTGTTGAGCAGGTCCGGATCCTCCGCGGGCTGGGGGCCATCCAGCCCGGGGTAAACCGCTGCAAACTCATCACCAGGAAAGACTTCGAAACTTTGTTCACCGATTGCACCAATGCCAGGTGAGACACTCGTTTCTTGGCTCTCCCACTTCTCTTACCCCTTTGGCCTCTTCTGCATGCCTCACCACCCTCATCCAACTTTGTTTGTAGAGTGAGTCTTAACTAGTTTGCCTCTATTCTTCACGCTGTAAATCGGTGGGGAAAGAGGACTAGAAGCTTTCATTAATGCTGGTGCCTTCTAGTCCACGCTCAGTGCAAGGGCTTCGGTCTAAAAAAGTCCCGCAAACTTGAGTTTGCAGTCCTCTATTGAAACTTTCCAGCCTTTTGCCCATATCTTGCATGGCTTTTGGCTGTTCGTGGTTATTTGTTAATTTCTCTATTTGGTTTTCTTTCCTGCTCTTTTGTGGCCGCACGGGTCGGATAGGTTTTCTTCTGAACACGGATACCAAGGGCTTTCTCTGGGGGCTGGCTGAGCTGTAAACTGGGCTCCTAAGCTGGCAAGCCAGAACACAGCATTTGGGGCATGCAGGGGGTGGGAAGTCTAGAATCCATCCCAGAGGGTGATTCGATCCCCATCCCGTGTGTTTGTTGTGAGAATGTGTGGGGTGTGTGGTGTTGTTGTTTGTGGTGGTGTTGGTGTGTATGTGTGCAAGTGCGCGTGAGAACGTATGCTCATGCTTGCTGCGCAAAGCTCCCCAGTACACGATACAGGAAAGTCGATGGATACTATTTTTACAAAAGGACGACGACAAATATCACTTTCCTGGGATCGTCCGTTTTGGGTTATCTGCAGAGGGCAATGTGGGGCATGAACCACTGTGGCTGGGACTGGATTGGAGGTTGGTGTACAAGTTGGCAGATTTCTAGAGAGGATGCTCTCAGCTCTTCCAGGCGAACAGTTGGAAGGATCCCATTCCCTTAAAGACAGGATTCCTTAAATGATGATGGCCAGCTTCCCTGGTTGTAAGTGTACCTCCTTCATATCACAGTTTAGAAGTACACTAGTGAATAAATGTCCATTTGTATATGAGAAGCAAATTGTGTTCAATGTTTCTGAGTTTAAAAAGAAAAAAAGTATACTCAAGATTATCTGACTTTTTAAACGCCTGTGAATTAGTCTTCTAGTGTTTATTCCATCTCCAGTTTGGTAACATCTCAGGAAAGCACAGATTTGGCACAAAAATCACCATCACGTGGTTAAAAGGAGCAAAGGATTTTGTTGTAAAACAGCACTACTGCTTATTATTTTGCAAAAATAAAATAAAAAACCAACAACTTTCTCAAAATGAACTTTAAATCATAAAATCTCTGGGTCTGTGAACTAAAACTGTAACAGTTTGCCACATCTGTTGTAAAATCCAAATTGCCATGTATAGTTGAATGATACTGACAACTTGTAGGCAAACTGTTGCTTACTGCTGCAATAAGATAATGCTGCAGAACTTACAAGGGAAGCTTTTTCCTTCTTCTTTTTTTTCTTCAATTGAGCAGTGTTTTTCTGTGTTCAAGCAATTAAACAGAAAACTATTTATGTGAGAACTCCTACCTGATTCATATTTAGGGCTTACAAAGCTGGTTTATTATATCAGCTTTTCTTAAGGAAGATAGATGGCCTGAAAACACAAAGGATAACAGCTCCCTCAATAAAACAGGCAATTATGGATTGTAAGAGTAAAAAGACAATTTTATTTCGACTACAAAGCATTTTATTAGTACACAAACTAAAAAGGTTACAAGGGACTTCAGATAGTGGCCATCTAATTCATTTGTTGCCATCCAAAAACACTCAAACATTTAAATAATTGCAGACATGAAAACCTATTCTCTTATTAACTCTCTCTCTTTATCAGTCTCTCATCTCTCCATCCCTGTTCTTTCTCTCTTCCCCCTCTCCCATCTCTAAAAATGCCCATTCTTAAAGTGGAACAATTATTACACTTAGGAAATTCTTCCTTCCTCAATTAATTTGCACATTCTTGAGAAAAACCTATGACCATGATTTTCAAATAAATAGATTAGTATTTTAATATGATTTTGATACTTTTCTCTATAAATGGAAACTTTTCCTAATTTTTATTAGAGCTACTTACTAAAAAAAAAAATCCAGAGGCAGGTGATCTTGTAATATTTTTGGACCCTGTTATACCATGTATTTTTAGGTTATTATTTTATCTAATTAGCTTTTATTTACTGCTTATCACAGCAATAGTAACTTTTCATGTGTGTGAATTGCTTTTGTGTATGTGTGTGTATAAAGGTGATAGAGAAATATTAAATATGTAGGAAGAAATAGATCTGTGATGTGATTCATGTGGCTTCTATTGCATTTTCTTTTCTTTACGGGTATTTGGTTTATTATATTCATATTTTAAAACTGTGTTACAAGTATTGCAATTTTATTAATTGTAAAAATTTATGAAGTATATTCTATGAATGCAATCCATCAGTGAAGATGAGGAAAACTACTAGAAACACACCTAAATTGCAATTTTAGATAGAAGACAACCACAATTTCCGGGAAAAATCTAATTAATTATAAAATGATATCAACAAATTTTGCTGATTCGAAGTGCCCTCCTAACCACATTATTAAAATTACAAAATATAATAATGCATTTAATAAATGCTTTATGATGTTAGGTAAGATTATTTACAGAAATGTATACTTTAAGTTACTCCCAAAATCTGAATTTTTAAAGAAAATTGCAAAATTTTTAGATCAACATTATTTCTGTGACTTTTCTACTCAGTGAAAAGAAAGGTAAGGGATGTAAACAGGAAAGAGGTCCAAGAGAGACAAAGTAAGGTAGATGAGACTCGAGGCCAGTGAGAGAGTAGAAATGCAGGAAAAGAGCAGAGTGATGCCTTGAGACAGAGTGAAAGATGGAACAGAAGAGCTTATAGAGATGCCCCAAGATGAGTGATGTACCAATGGAGATCTGGCTAAAGAGGATTGTCCTTCAGGACTCATGACTTCTTAGTGCTTCTAGCTAAGAGCAGGGAGGGAAGTGCAAGGAAAAAGTAAATGTTTAGCGAATAGAAACTCTTAAACACTATTCTTATTTCAAAGAAGAGATTCATCTTCATCGCTTGATGGATAAATGTTCATAATATGTTGTTGAATGGAAGGCCTATTTGTAATGGTGTCATTGGCAATTTTCTCTTTCTGTATAATAAACATTTCTTCCCCTCTCTGTTGAGTATGTGGGGAAGAGTACAAGTCCTGACTTAGAGCATTTGGAATGCTTTCTGTGCTATCCCAGAAAACACAAAGTGGACTGTTTTCAAATTGTTCATTTTCAAAGACCTTAAGGTATTGCCACTAAGTGACATTTTGATTTGCTTCAGTGCCCATTATGTGCACTGAAGAAAAATGAATGAGTAAAATATATACATAATTGTTTCTTTGATAGTACTGAAAGTCACAGCAAGAACTACCAGTGCCTTTTATTAACTATTTTGTTGTTAGCCAATTATAAAAATATTCAGTTGTCTTCCTGGAAAATAAGTTAAGAAATAATATCTGCTTCAACTGCTAGAGAGGTAGTAAGATTAAAACTCTTGACCATTCATTGTTCTGTTCGACAAGTCAAGGTTTACATCACTGTAATTTCAAAGAACTGTACAACATTTTTCCTTCATGACTGTTAACTTCCAAAATTAATTATAAGGATATGATTTTGAGGATTATTTTTTAAATGATGATAAAAATAATCAACACTAAATGGGAAAAATTACTATACTGTTTTGGATTTTGTTTTTTGCAGATAAAGCACTGTGATTTCTGTTTAATATTTTGTGCAAGAAAACTTAGAGTTTTTAATACCAGAGAGAACAGGCAGGTTTAGAAAGTAAATGTTGACAATTTTCACTCTTATGCAATAGATTTTTCTTACTAAATTCTCCTAAGTTTAATGAAGCAGTAAAATAGTAAATTAAAAATTGTTTTTCCTAAATATGAAAATTACTAAACAATCAATAAATTTTAGTGTTTCTCTTTTTACCTACCTATCAACATAAAAGTAAAATATTGTCAGATTTCATGACCAGCATTTAATTTTGTTTGAGGACCAACTGATTAATGTTATTCGGTCATTTAGAGTTAAATGGGTGCTTGAAGAAACAAGAAAGTATGATTAAGAAAATATTTTAGTAATGCATTTGGAGACATGATTCAACATATATTCAAACAAATAGAATTCAGTTTTTAAAGTAAAATTTCCAATTGTGGTTTCTTGTTATTTTGATAGTATATAAACAGAACATAAATATGGTTTTATATTAAAGAGATTTTTAATATCAAAGCACATTTTACAACATTTTAAAACTATTTTCAAATACTAGAAATATGGTTATTATGAGCGCTCAATGAGTTTGGCTTTGTAGTCACACTTGATGAGTACTTTATAGTTCATGATCCATACAGAGTAGCATAATTTACTTTGAAAATTTATGTTTTACATTTACAGTTAGGCAATGTCAAATTTTTGCAGAACTTGAATCACTTTCCTGAGTTAATATTTTGTATGGCTTACATTTTCAGTAATGATAAAAACATTTTAGAAAAGAATCTGTGTAGTAAATGCACATTTTATTCTATAGGACAATGAAGAGATAGTCATATTGTCTGTTAAAAGCAGCCACATGGTCAACAATGCTCTGTCCTTTATGAGAAGAATGATGTCAGGATTATAATTAAAGCAATTATAATTATATGCCAATGCATAGACTTTCCATGTTTACATTCATTTTAAATATACGCTTCTGAATAACCAACAGTTTTGTATTTAACTACTTTAGCTGGTATTCATATGTGCCTCACTCATTTATTAGGTGATGGTTACTACATTAAAGAAATGATCCATGACATGATGCAGTATATCTTTGGATTTTTATGTATCATATTATCCTCAATGTATAGCACATGAATGTCAATAAATAATTAGGACATGATGGTCTTCAGACATTAATGTTTTATATGGTTTTACACAGGAAATACCTAGTTCCTATAGAAGATATCAAGTCTGAATTATTTGATGCTTTCTTAGGTAACCTTATTTTGTCTTAATGAAATTCATAGATGTCTTTAACATGCTTCTAGCAGACAAATATAATTGTGAAAAGCCTAATCACAACATGTTATATTTCAGTTGGGAATCTAGCTATCCAGTGGCACTTTATCTTATGCATTTAGAGATACAAATGATTTGGGGTTATCTACTCTATACATTTTAAATATGTATTAAAACCATCCTAATTGATCCAAAACTGAAAATATTATGTTTTTGTGAAAAAGACATCAAACCTTTCCCTCAAAGCAAAACAATTAGGTATTAATGATATTCTTGTTGTATATTCAAAAAGCCTTTGGTTGCATTTATTTCCTCCTTTTCTTCCCTTTCACCATCTCAACCTGCAAAACTCTTCACTGTCACTTCAGATCACACAATTCTAAAAAGATAAAACAACATTTAAACACATTTGCTTTGGACGGGAAATTGAGCATTTGTACCCAATAAGCCTGATTGTGGAACTGCATGCAAATTGTGTTTTGATTTATCTCTTTTACACTTTTTTCCATTTGAATTGATCTTGCATTAATTTCACCAAGCGGCTCTGTGAGGCTGCAGATGTTGCCCTGTGTTTAATAAATCAATGAGACAGATCTGAATGAATCACTTCAGATGGATTCTCTGCTCGGTTTGATGTCTAGATGTTATTCTTAGCTTGTTATCATGACAGATGCATTAATGTTCCCATACACTGCCAGCAATGTCAAAGAGATTGAAGCTTTTAAAGTGGCGGCATCCCTTTTTCCATTTTCTGCTAGAACAACTAAATTTATTTTATTTGAGAATCAGAGAAAAATACCAAATCAATCTTAAGATTTTTCATGGGAAAGAGTCTCAATACTCATGCTATATTGTGAACTATTCCAAAATGGTGGAGATCAACATATTAAAGCCTAAATATAGTGTAGCTGCTTAATAGTGCCTCTACATTAATATTTAATCATAGGAGGAAAAATGAGAATTAGTAATATATGATTGGGACACATTGAAAGTGTCACTATAAATAGAATAATACTGTATCCAAATTGATTACAGAAGGGTGTTAGTTTTTAAATCCTTACTAATAAGCTTTTTGTTGGCTTAATGCAGCTGCAATATACTCTTATGAAGGGATTTAGAACCCCTTCAGGATTTAATATTTTTTTTAGTAGAAAGGAGACAGCCTGTCCATTGTGTATTCATCATTTATTCACTTGGTAATGCTGAAAATCCCAGGAAAATTTATTTCATTTTAATATATTTATATTCTTGCTAATTATTTGTAAGTCATAAATTATCCAGTAGCAATAAATGCTTTTATAGTTTAATTTCTTAAACTACAGAAACGCATATGGTCACCAAAAGGAACTTTGATATAACGCTAGTGAAATTTATTACTTACCTGCATTAAATATCATAACTACCGTACTTCATTTCATTTAACCCATGGCTTTGTTTCCTTGATTCTGAGAGAGAAACAATGCTGTCAATTGATGTGAAATATTTTGAATTTAATATTGTAGGTGATATAACTTTTCAGTTAGTCTGATATTTGAAAATGCAAATTTTAAAAAGGAGGTTCAAATTTTCTCTTATTCAGCTTTCTGAAGAATATATATTTTAAAAATCAGTTTTTAGATGTAGATCCTCTTTGAAAGCCTACACAGTATTCCTTAATCATAATTTTATTCCTACCTTTATTAGAATAGGAAAACAGTAAACACCGTTAAATGATACTATTTAGATCTCAAATTCAGGAAAAATTGTATCTCCAGTGGTTAGGCTAATGTTGGATGTTTATGATATGTATACTATTACCTATGGTAGAGTTTAAAGAAAAGTTGAAAATGAACTTCAATAAATTATGGAAAATAGTTAACTTTTTTTCAATTTTTCTTTAAAATGTGTAAATGCCTTTATGGTGGTATCTCACCACATCCTTCTTCAACACTAAATTTGTATGTTAAAATTGGTGAAAATATTATACTGAGACTGTGAATTTAAGAAGTAACACAAATTGTTTTATGCAAAATTGAATATGTTTTAAGAAAAAGATATCTTTATCAATACCTATCATGGTATCCTTAAAAAAGAACTGAATTTGTTACATAAAACAAAACCTTGGGTTTTTAATAATAATTTCTGAGGAGTCATTTTTAACTCCAGTAACGTTCTTTGAAAAGGTTCATTAAGCCTAATGTTCTGTGTATATTAGACATTTAATTCACATTTGTTGAATGAATACAACTATGCATACACATATACACACGTTTATTCCTCTTATTAGAATTCTTTGCAGTATATGACGTTCCTTAACAAAAGGTAAGAAATAGTTAAAGTATGCAGTTATTGAAGATATACTAATCCTGAAATTTTAAATCCAATATAAAACAATTTGTAATCATGCCATAAACCTTTCACAAATACACATGTAAAGGTATCAAAATCTAATATATGAACTTAGAATATTTGAAATGAAGTATATCTTCAAAGCAAGTATGACTTCTTGATATTTCCCTTAGGTGAAAACCCAGTAGAGATGCTCAAATATTATGAAAAGGCAATAATTAATGAATAAAGTGAGCCTAAGACCATAAAATGATTATTGGTGATTTAGATTTATACTACTTGATATGAACACTAACCCTTGTGGCAGTTGACTTGTGATCCTGTTTTCAAACAGTAAATGCATGTGTATTCAAAATGAGTTGGTAAAAGGAGGGTTTTCCTCCCTTCTTTCTAGTCTGTGAATAGAATACAAATACATGTTAAAAAGAATGATTTGATTTTTTTCCTGAATAATCTTAAGGCCCAATCCAATGAAACTCAAATTTGCATGAAGTATCCTCCTCACCACCCATTTAAAAGAATAACTTAGTTCTTTCAGGTGTAATTAATTTTGAAGAGTAAAATTTCCTTTAATCTAGGAACCCTGAAGTTGAAACTACTCGTATCTGTGTACTATTTTGACCCATCACAATTACTTTGTTTATTAGAGCAAATTGTGGTGGAAACTTTGTAATTATACTACTGGAAAAAGTATATGGTACAGGAAAGTTAAAAAATAATAAGCCACAGTATTTTTATTGCTATATAATATTTTTATTTTTAAACAAATTGACTGTTTAATGGTGTGTAATGTAGTGTGTATACAAAGGTATATAGCATTCGATTGCAATTGTGTACAATGATCTTATCAGGTTGCTGGCAACTACTAGCTAGTAACAGCATTTGGGCTACATTTAGTCTATCTGCTATTTATGTGATGGGTTAAAAAGAAAAAAGTAATATTGATCTGTCGCCGGATTAAAGTTTGAAATGGGCAACAGCCTGAACACAAAAGCCTTTTTTTTATGATTTCTCAGCTTGCCATTGATCTAGTTTTATTGCATTCATTATTTATTAAAAGAATTTGCAAGCTAAACATAACGTTAAGCTAGTTTGCACACAGGGACCGCACTTAGGAAATTGAATGGAAATTGCATTAGAGATGAACATCTGTGCTATTTTTCCACTCATGTGTTTATGGGTTTGTATAAAAGGTGTATTGGATTAACAGTTATAACCATTATAGCTTACAGCAATATGTTAGTTTCTGAGCTTTCAGTTATTTTGAGAGAAGTCTATCTCTCATGTTTGTCTAAAAAGTATAGTACTATCATCACAAACAATATTAATTATGTATTTATTTTTACGAACAGTATTTAGAAAAATTTATTTTTATTATCATATTGTTAATGCATTATGTATGTTATGTATACATTATGAGATATCCTGCTATACTGAAGTAAAAACATTTTGAAAACATATGTAATTATCATATAAGACTATACTATCTCTTAATGGCCTTTGGTAGCAGGGTATATAGGTGCAATTACAGAGCACCTATTTTAAGAATCTTGAGTTTAATGCCATATTAAAGCATACTAAATTCACAGAAACTATATAAAAACTTTAATATGATAAAAAAGATCATCCATAAAATATTATATATGTAGTCAAAGCCTTGATCATTCTAAAATGATAGTAAATGCGCAGACACTGAAGACTTGCTCTATATAACACTACTGATGATAAGATGGGATGCATTATGATATGGTTCCCCTTTTGGGTTCAATCCAAGGAAGTTTAATTACCAAACCGCAAGTTGACCTCCCCAGAGGACATAAGTTAGACGTCAGTGAGTATGGGTTTTTTTTGTGTATGTGTGTTTTGTTTTTGTTTTTGTTTGGGACAAGGTCTGGCTCTGTCACCCAGGCAGGAGTGCAGTGGCAACCAGTGAGTATGTCTTTTGCTGTATTGTCTTTAAGCTGTAGACATTTGGAAAATTCATGTCTATCTATTTAATTATTGGAATTTAAATAAAAACTTCTTCACAACCATTTTGATCGCTCATGATTAGATTTGTTATGATAGCCTGTGCGTGTGTGTGTGTGTGTGTGTGTGTGTCTATCCAGTACTTATTAAGGGTATTCTTTGTGGTGCCAGGCAGTGGTCTAGGTGCTAGGTGCTGTGAACGAAATGAACAAAACGGTCTGTTCTTTCATGGACCATACAGACTACCATCATCCTATCATTAGCTTGGGGTGTATAAGCTGTATTATCCCTCCTAGTATATTTACTAAATTATGAAATATTTGAGATTACAAAATTTTGCCACATCTATTATTGAATAATCCTTAAATTTCCTTTCCTATATCTGCCTCATGCATTATATCAGTAAACATTAGACTTTTTTCAGTCTTCGGAATTATACCAGAAAAGTCCAACTAAAAATAGTTATTAAGATACAAAACAAGGTATTTTAGTTTTATGAGTGCAGAAAGTGTTCTTATCTTATAAAGTACACATAAAAAGGAGCATGAAATAAAACATGTATTTCCACTTAAGAATGACCATAGTTAATTGACCTTAGTAACTTTTTATGATATATATTTGTTAAAAGGGATATGAATTCTTAAAATTCATAAAGTTAATCAATCCATGAGACACACGTTTTTGTTATAAAACATGCAACTGTGGATTTTTAAAAAAATTATGTTAAAAAGCTTGCTTTGATTTGTGTTAAGAGTTTTAAACTAGTAAGATCCTCAATCTTAGAGCATCATTTGCTTTGCATGTGGTCCTATACAATATTATGCCAAAAATTAAAACAGAGATGAGAGTTGTTTATTTTTGTTCATCCAGAGTACATTGACCCTTAAATATGTTATATTTAAATGTAAATAACTTTACAAAACCAGATTATTTGCAAACATGTATAATTAAATGTTTAATGTTACTGTTAAGCTTGCTGCTTTGAAAATATCCTGTAATCTGCTAAACTTCTAAATTTATTTTGTAGAAAAATCTGTGAGTTCCCTCTAGGTTTTTATCTGAGGTATGCAAAAGGGGAATTTGTTCATAGAAAAAAAATTACTCCATAGTACATTTTATGCAAAGCATACAATCTTTAGGTCTCACTTTATAAGCCAATTAGCATATTCACTTTAAACATGATATTTTCCAATTCAATTCATTTCAACAAATATTTAGTAAGCACCTACTATGTGCAAGGCTCCTTATCAGGGGAAGTGGTGATACTAAGAACTTGCCACATTCTTATTGTCTCATCTCCAGATTATCTAGGTTGAGTTTTATTGTTTCATGGTTAACTCTCAGCTAACCTACATTAGTGGAAGGAAGAGTAAACAATACATATAATTCAAAAACGTGGAAAATTAAAATAACATTGATTTGGCTTTGCAGTGCATTATAAAATGTTCTCAGCATATTTACCTGTCTAAATATATTTTACTTATTCTAATATTAAATTTTATTTACTTTTTTCTGATTAAACTCTCTTTTAATGGGTCTACAAAATTGTGTGACAGATTTTGATCAAGTTGTTTCCATTAAAAAGTACTGATTTTAAAAACTAATAACTTAAAACTGCCACATGTAAAAAAAAAAACAAAAAAAACAAAGTGTTCCACAAAACATTCTGCCTTCCTTCTAAAGATTTTACAATGCATTGTTATCATTAACCAGTCTTTTACTATTAAACTTAAATGGCCCATTGAAACAAACAGTTCAAAGATTCTTCTTCCACCACTGATTAAGACTAGGGTGGCAGGTATTAGGGATAATATTCATTTAGCCTTCTGAGCTTTCTGGGCAGACTTGGTGACCTTGCCAGCTCCAGCAGCCTTCTGATCCACTGCCTTGATGACACCCACAGCAACTGTCTGTCTCATATCACAAACACCAAAGTGACCCAGAGGAGGATAGTCTGAGAAGCTCTCAATACACATGAGGTTGCCAGGAACCATATCAATGATGGCAGCATCACCGGACTTCAAGAATTTAGAGCCATCTTCCAGCTTCTTACCAGAACGGTGATCAATCTTTTCCTTCAGTACAGCAAACTTGCATGCAGTGTGAGCCATGTGGCAATCCAGTACAGGAGTATAGCCAGCACTGATTTGGCCTGGATGGTTCAGGATGATCACCTGAGCAGTGATGCCGGCTGCTTTCATTGGTGGGCCATTTTTGCTGTCACCAGCAATGTTGCCACAACGAACATCCTTGACAGACACATTCTTGATATTGAAGCCCTCATTGTTCCCAGGAATAAAGCTTTATTTCATTTCACTCGAAGCTTTATTTTATTTCACTCAAAGCTTCCTGGTGCATTTCAACAGACTTTATTTCAGTTGTAACATCGACTGCAGCAAAGGAGACCACCATACCGGGTTTGAGAACACCAGTCTTCACTTGACCACCAAGTACAGTACCAATGCCACCAATTTTGTGGACATCCTGGAGAGGCAGGCGCAAGGGCTTGTCAGTTGGACCAGATGGTGGTAGGATGTAGTCCAGAGCCTCAAGCAGCGTGGTTCCACTGGCATTGCCATCTTTACAGGTGACTTTCCATCCCTTGAACGAAGGCACGTTAGCAGTTGCCTCCAGCATGTTGTCATCATTCCAACCAGAAATTGGCACAAATGCTACTGTGTTGGGGTTGTAGCCAATTTTCTTAATGTAAGTGCTGACTTCCTTAACGATTTCCTCATATCTCTTCTGGCTGCAGGGTGGCTCAGTGGAATCCATTTTGTTAACACCAACAATTAGTTGTTTCACATCCAGTGTGTAAGCCAGAAGGGCATGCTCACTGGTCTGCCCATTCTTGGAGATACCAGCTTCAAATTCACCAACACCAGCAGCAACAATCAGGACAGCACAGTCAACCTGAGATGTCCCTGTAATCACGTTCTTAATGGATACAGTAGTCATTACAGGTGTTAGCAGATCAAAACCTGGCAAATTACATGAGGCCAGTTACTGACTTTAACACACCTTCCTGTGTTCAGAACCCCTAAATAACCATCTTCCTTCAGTTAAATAAAAATTTCTTGACACCAGAGGAATTATAGCTTTGGATTAGAATGCATTGATGAGTATAACTCTAAATCAGATTTTTGTGAAGCGTTTCTACTCTGTGAAGAGAATAATTAATTGATTTTCAGCTTGCAATTAAGAAAAGGAACATTATATAGTCTTGATGCTGATTATATCCTGTCAAGAGCAGTCATTTTCATGATGGGCACATATAGAACATTGTGACCTCTAAAGAGAGTAGTAACTGCTCCAGTGTTTAATTGGTATACGTACATTTGATATAGCCACATTCTTAAATTTGCAGTTCTTTTGCGTTGTTCCTTGTCATGCTAGAGGACTGACAGGTTTTTGTTATTTTAGGGGCATGTTCTTTTTTGTAAAGTCGTATGATGTTTACATAATCCCTATTCTGCCACAATCTAAAGCTTTTATTATTCTTCCTTGTTTTAAAGTGAAAGCAAGTTTATCAAGAAAGTAAAGGAATAAAGGAATGACTACTCCATAGGCAGAGCAGCCTAAAGCTTTCATTATTCTTTACAGTTTTGTCTCATTGAATTGAATGACAGATATGCTGTGTATTCAGTTTGGTATTTTGTTTCTTTTTTTTTTATTTTTGTTTTTTTGTTTCCAAGATGGTTCTCAGTTTTTAAATGTAAATAAAATCCAAGAATTCCTTTTTTTTGAGGTCTTTCTCTACATTAGTGGGAAATATGTAAAAGCCTTTGTCCCATATGGATTCATGTTCCTTCAAAGAAGGGGCAGTGAAGCTCAATAATTTAGTTTTCTGTTTAGTTAGGAAGCCTCTTGATTTTACAGACAGGTGGACTAAATTTGGGTCATGTTAGCATTGATGGAGTTCTATTTGGGAATGAACAAAGGAATGAAACTAAAAAAGGGTGGAGAAAACCTGATGAGAAAATGTTTCTTATGTAAATAGAGAATAGACCAGGAACTAACTGATAGGTGGGAAGTAGGCAGTATAGAGTGTACTGATAGAGGCATATCCATAGAGTTCTTGAATGAATTATCCCTTTTAATTGTCTTCATTTTAGTGGTAAGATTAATCAGATTAATAATGAACAGGAACAAAGGACATACAAATATTAGCTGTGAATAAAAAGAAAAAAAACTGAAGGCAAAATGTAGAAATGTTATTCCATTTGAGGTGGCATTAAAAACCTTAATAAAACATTTGTATACGTGTTGTATTAAAGTAATATTCATTTAGTATTCTTGTAAATGTTACTTTAATTAAAAAATTATAAAGTGTCCATTTACATATCCTTGGTAAATGTTCTTACTATTCCTGTTCTGTTTGATTGATTCTAGCTTGCCATAACACATTTTTGAAACGTGTTGAGAATAAATTATTTATATTTTTGTATATACACTTTTTTAGGTAAAAGTTTATTTTTAAGTTATTTTTTAAAATTTTTGTGGTTACATAGTAGATGTATGTATTTATGGGGTACATGAGATATTTTTATATAGGCATGCAATGTGAAATAACCACATCATGGAGAGTGGGGTATCCCTCCACTCAAGCATTTATTCTTTGAGTTATAAACAATTTAATTACACTCTAAGTTATTTTAAAAAGTACAGTTAAGTTCTTATTGACTCTAGTCACCCTATTGTACTATCAAATAGTAGGTCTTATTCATTCCCTCTATTTTTTTTGTACCCATTAACCATCCCCACCTTCCCTCCAGCCCTTCACTATTCTTCCAAACCTCTGGTAACCATCCTTCTACTTTCTGTGTTTATTAGTTCAATTGTTTTGATTTTAAGATCCCACAAATAAGTGAGAACATGTGATGTGTGTCTTCCTGTGCCTGGATTATTTCACTTCGCATAATGATCTCCAGTTCCATGCATGTTGTTGCAAATGACTGGGTCTCACTCTTTTTTATGGCTAATAGTACTCCGTTGTGTGTATGTACCACATTTTCTTTTTTTTAATGTTTATTTTAGGTTCAGGAATACCTGTGAAGGTTTGTAACCTAGGTAAACTCATGTGACTGGGATTTGTTATACAGATTATTTCGTCACCCAGGAATTAAGCCCAGTACCCAATAATAATCTTTTCTGCTTCTCTTTCTCCTCCCACCTCCCCACTCAAGTATATCCCAATGTCTGTTGTTTACTTTTTTGTGTTCATAAGTTCTCATCATTTAGCTCCTACTTATAAGTGAGAATATGTGGTATTTGGTTTTCTGTTCTTGCATTGGTTTGCTGAGGATAATAGCCTCCAGCCTCCCACAAAAGACACAATCTCATCGTTTTTTATGGCTGCATAATATTCCGTGGTGTATATGTATCACTTTTTTTTAATCCATTTCTGTCATCGATGGGCATGTATGTTGATTCTATGTCTTTGCTATTGTGAATAGCGCTGCAATGAACAGACACGTGCATGTGTCTTTATAATAAAACAGATTATATTCCGTTGGTTATATACCCAGTACTGGGATTGCTGGGTCAAATGGTAGTTCTGCTTTTCGCTCTTTGAGGAATCACCAAACTGTTTTACACAATGGTTGAACTAATTTACACTCTGCCCAACAGTGTATAAGTGTTCCCTTTTCTCCGCAACCTCACCAGCATGTTATTTATTTATTTATTTTTTGCTTTCTAGTAATAGCCATTCTGACTGGTGTGAGATGGTATCTCATTGTGGTTTTGATTTGGTTTCTCTAATGATCAGTGATATTGAGCTTTTTTCATATGCTTGTTGGCCACATGTCTGTCTTCTTTTGAAAAGTGTCTGTTCAGGTCCTTTGCTCAGTTTTTAATGGAGTGGTTTGTTTTTTTCTTGTAAATTTGCTTAAGTTCCTTATAGATATTTGATATTACCTTTATCAAATGCATAGTTTGTGAATATTTTCTCCCATTCTGTAGGTTGTCTGTTTATGCTGTTGATAGTTTCTTTTGCTGTGCAGAAGCTCTTAAATTTAATTAGATTCCACTTGTCAATTTTTGCTTTTGTTGCGATTGCCTTTGGTGTCTTTGTCATGAAATCTTTGCCCGTTCCTATGTCCAGGATGGTATTGACTAGGTTGTCTTCCAGGATTTTAATAGTTTTGGGTTTTCCATTTAAGTCTTTAATCCATCCTGAGTTGAGTTTAGTATATGGTGTAAGGAGGGGGTCCAGCTTCAGTCTTCTGCATATGTCTAGCCAGTTATCCCAGCACCATTTATTGAATAGGGAGTCTTTTGCTCATTGCTTGTCCTTGTTAGGTTTGTCAAAGATCAGGTGGTTGTAGGTGTGAGGCCTTATTTTTGGGTTCTGTATTCTGTTCCATTGGTCTGTGTGTCTGTTCTTGTACCAGTACCATGCTGTTTTGGTTACTGTAGTCCTGTAGTATAGTATGAAGTTGGGTAATGTGATGCCTCCGGCTTTGTTCTTTTTACTTAGGAATGCCTTGGCTATTTGGGCTCCTTTTTGGTTCTATATAAATTTTAAAATAGTTTTTTTTTCTAGTTTTGTGAAGAACGTCATTGGTAGTTTGATAGGAATAGCATTGAATCTGTAAATTGCTTTGGGCATTGTGGCCATTTTAATGATATTGATTATTTTGACCCATAAGCATGGGATGTTTTTCCATTTGTATCTTTTCTGATTTTTTTTGAGCAGTGTTTTCTAATTCTCATTGTAGAGACCTTTCACCTCCCTGGTTCACTGTATTCGTAGGTATTTTATTCTTTTTGGGGCAATTGTGTACCACATTTTCTTTATCCATTCATCCATTGATGGAACTTACGTTGCTTCCAAATCTTAGCTATCGTAAACAGTGCTGTAATGAACAAGGGAGTGCAGGTATCTCTTCGATATACTGATTTCCTTTCTTTTGTGTATATACTCTGCAGTGGTATTGCGGGATCATACGGTAGCTCAAATTTTAGATTTTTGAGGACCCTCCAAATTGTTCTCCATAGTTATTGTACTAATTTACATTTCCGCCAACAATGTACGAAGGTCCCCTTTTCTCTACATCCTCACCAGTATTTATTATTGCCTGTCCTTTGGATATAAGCGATTTAAATTGGGGTGAGAGGGTATCTCATTGTAATTTCGATTTGCATTTCTCTGATGACAAATGATGTTGGGCACCTTTTCATATGCCTGTTTGCCATTGGTATGTCTTCCTTTGAGAAATGTCTTCTCAAATCTTTTTCTTATTTTTTTGATTGGATTATTAGATTTTTTTCATATATAGTTGTTTGAGCTCCTTATATATTCTGATTATTAATACCTTGTCACATGGGTAGTTTGCAAATATTTTCTTCTATTTTGTGGGTTGTCTCTTCACTTTGTTAAATGTATCCTTTGCTGTGCAGAAGCTTTTTAACTGGATGCAATCCCATTTGTCTATTTTTGCTTTGGTTGCCTATACTTGTGGGGTATTGCTCAAGAAATCTTTGCCCAGACCAATATCCTGGAGATCTTTCCCAAAGTTTTCTTGTAGCAGTTTCACAGTTCAAAGTCTTAGGTTTAAGTCTTTAATCCATTTTGATTTGATTTTTGCATATGGTGAGACATAGGAATCTAGTTTCATTCCTCTGTATATACATTTCCACCTTTCCCAGCACTCTTTATTGAAGAGATCGTCTTTTCCCCAGGGTATATTTTTGGCACCTTTGTTGAAAATGAGTTTACTGTAGGTTTGTGGATTTGTTTCTGGGTTCTCTATTCTGTTCCATTGGTGTATATGTCTGTTTTTATGCCAGTAACATGCTGTTTTGGTTCCTTATAGCTCTATAGTATAATTTGAAGTAAGGTAATAAAACTCTTCTAGTTTTGCTTTTTTGGTTAGAATAGATTTGGTTATTCTGGGTCTTTTGTGGTTCCATATAAGTTTTAGAATTTTTTCTTTTTCAGATTGTTCACTGTTGGCATATAGAAATGCTACTGATATTTGTACGTTGATTTTGTATTCTGTAACTTTACTTAATTTGTTTATCAGTTCTAACAACTTTCTTGTGGAGTCTTTATGTTTTTCCAAATATAAGATCATATCATCTGCAAACAAGGATAATTTGACTTCTCCCTTTTTAATTTGGCTGCCCTTTATATTTTTCTCTTGTCTGATTGCTCTAGCTAGGCCTTCCAGTACTATGTTGAATAACAGTGATGACAGTGGGCATCATTGTCGTGTTCCAGATCTTAAAAGAAAAGCTTTCAGTTTTTCCCCATTTAGTATGATACTAGCTGTGGGTCTGTCATATATGGCTTTTATTTTGTTGAGATATATTCCTTCTATCCCCAGTTTTTTGAGGCTTTTTACCATGAAGGGATGTTGGACTCACCAAATACTCTTCTAGCATTATTTGAAATGATTACATAGTTTTTATTCTTTATTCTGTTGACATGATGTGTCAAAACGATTGATTTGTATATGCTGAACCAGCCTTGCATCCCAGCGATAAATCCCATTTGGTCATGTTGATCTTTCTAATGTATTCCTGAATTTGTTTTGATAGTATTTTGCTGAGGATTTTTGCATCAAATTCATAGGAGATATTGGATTGTAGTTTTCATTTTTTGATGTGTTTTTGTCTGGTTTTGGTATCAGGTTAATACTGGCCTCATAAATTCAGTTTGGAAGTATTCCCTCCTCTTCTATTTTTCGGAATAGTTTGAGTAGTATTGGGTTTCGTTCTTTTTAAAATGTTTGGTAGAATTTATCAGTGAAGGCTTCACGTCCCAAGCTTTTCTTCACTGGGGGAATTTTTATTACTGCTTCAATATCATTACTTGTTATTGAACTGTTCAGGTTTTGGATTTCTTTCTGTTTCAATCTTGGTATGTATGTATCTAGGAATTTGTTCATTTCTTTTAGATTTTCCAATTTATTGCCATATAGTTGCTCATAGTAGCCATGAATGATCCTTTGAATTTCTGCAGTATCCATTGTAATGTCTCCTTTTTTCATTGCTAATTGTATTTATTGGGATTTTCTCTCTTTTTTTCTTAATTAGTCTGGCTAAAGGTTTGTCAGTTTTGTTTAACAAATCAATTTTTTTGTTTTATAGATCTTTTGTTTTCTAAAATTTCAATTTTATTTCTTTCCCAATTTTCATTATTTATTTTCCTCTACTAATTTTGAGTTTGATTTGCTCTTGCTTTTTAAATTCTTTTAGGTGTAATGTTAGATAGTTTATTTGAAGTTTTTCTTCTTTTTTGATGTACGCACTTACAGCTATAAACTTGCCTCTTATTATTGCTTTTGCTGAATCCCATAGTTTTGGTATTTTGTGGTTCTATTATTTGTTTCAGTACAATTTTAGTTTGCTTCTTAATTTCTTTATTGACCCACTGGTCGTTCAGGAGTATATTGCTTAATTTCCATGTATTTGTATAGTTTCCAAAATTCTTCTTGATATTAATTTCTAGTTTTATTCCATTGTAGTCAGAGAAGATGTTTGATATTATTTCAAGTTTTTTGAATGTTTTAAGACATGTTTTGTGATTTAACATATGGTCTGTCCTTGAGAATGATCCATGTGCTGAGGAAAATAATGTGTATCCCGCAGCTCTTGGATGAAATATTCTACAATTGTCTATTAGATCCATTTGGTCTAAAGTGCAGATTAAGTCTGATGTTTCATTTTGGATTTTCTGTCTGGAAGATCTGTGCAATGTTGAAAGTAAGGTGTTGAAATCTTATTATTCAATTTGGGTTTATCTCTCTGTTTAGCTCTAATCATATTTTCTTTATATGGCTGGATGCTCCATTATTGGGTGCACAGTTATTTACAATTGTTTTATCCTCTTGCTGAATTGACCCCTTTATCATTATATAGTGACCTTCCTTGTCTCTTTTTATAGATTTTGTCTTGAGATTTATTTTGTCTGATATAAATATAGTGACTCCCTTGCTTCTTTGGTTTCCATTGACATGGAATATTTTTTCCTATCCCTTTAGCTTCAGTCTTTGTGTGTATTTATAGGTGAAGTGTGTTTCTTGTGGGCAACGGATCAATGGGTCTTGTTTTTTCATCCATTCAAACACTCTATGTGTTTTGATCAGAGAGTTTAGTCTATTTACATTCAGTGTTCTTGATAAGGACTTCTGCCATTTTGTTATTTGTTTTCTTGTCTTTTTTTTCCTTCCTTTCTTCGTCTAGTAAGGTGACTTTCTCGGTGATATAATTCAGTTTTTTGCTTTTTATTTTTTGTGTCTCTTTTGCATGTCTTTTGGTTTGAGTTTACCATGAGCTTTGCAAATACTATCTTATAACCCATTATTTTAAGCTGAAAAAACTACACTTTGCATTAAAAAAAGACAACTAATAAAAACCCTATGCCGTAACTTTGTCCCCTTGCTTTTTAACCTTTTGTTTTTTCTATTTATATTTTATTGTACTGACTATGTCTTGAAATGTTGTGTTATTGTTTTTCATTGGTTCGTTGTTTAGTCTTTTCACTTAGGATAATAGTAGTTTACACACCACATTTACAGTGTTACAATATTCTGTGTTTTTTTGTGTGCTTATTATTACCAGTGCATTTTGTACCTTCCAAACCCTTACTTATTGTTCTTTAATGTCCTTTTCTTTCTGATTGAAGTATTCCCTTTAGCATTGCTTATAAGATAGGTCTGATGTTGATAAAATCCCTCAGCTTTTGTTTGTCTGGGAAAGTCTTTAATTCTCCTTTGTGTTTGAAGGATATTTTTACTGGATATACTATTCTATGGTAAAAGCATTTTTCCTTCAGCCCTTTAAATATGTTCTGCCACTTTCTCCCGGCCTGTAAGGTTTCCACTGAATAGTCTGTTGCCTGACATATTGCAGCTCCATTTTATGTCATTTTTTCCTCTTACTGCTTTTAGGATCCTTTCTTTTTCCTTTGGGAGTTTGATTATTAAATGCATTGAGATAGTCTTCTTTGTGTTACATTGGCTTGGTGTTCTATAACATTCTTGTACTTGTATATTGATATCTTTCTCTAGGTTTGAGACATTCTCCATTATCTTTTTGAATAAACTTTCTACACTTATCTCTACCCCTGTCTTCTCTTTAAGGCCAGTAGCTCTTAGACTTGCCCTTTTAATGCTGTTTTCTAGATCCAGTAGGTATGCTTCATTGTTTCGTATTCTCTTTTTTTGTCTCCTCTGTGTATTTTCAAATAGCCTGTCTTCAAGCTCACTGTCTTTCTTCTGCTTGATCGATTGCATTTTCAACTCAAAAATTTGTGCTTGATTATTTTCAATTGTTTTAATTTCTTTGTTAAATGTATCTGATAGAATTCTGAATTCCTTCTTTGCATTATCTTGAATTTCTTTGGGTTTCCTCAACACGGCTATTTTGAATTCTCTATGTTAATGGTCACATACCTGTTTCTCCACAATTGGTCCATGGTGCCTTATTTAGTTCATTTGGTGAAGTCATGTTTTCCTGGATGATGTTGATGCTAATAGATGTTCTTTGATGTGTGGGTGTTGAAGAGTTAGGTATTTGTTGTAGTCTTCACTGGGCTTATTTGTCCATCCCAAGAAGGATGGCTTTCCAGGCACTTGAAAAGACTTGGGTGTTGTGATCTAAGCTGTGTCTGCTTCAAGGGCACCCCAAGTCTAGTACTGCTGTGGTTCTTGCAGACTCGTAGAGGTACTGCCTTGATGGTCTTCGACAAGATCTGGGAGAATTTTCTGGATTACCAGGCACAGACTCTTGTTCTTTTCTCTTACTTTTTCCCAAACAAAAAGCATCTCTCTCTCTCTGTCTGTTCTGAGCCACCTAAAGCTGGGGGTGGAGTGACACAAGCACCCCTGTTGCCACTACCGCTATGACTGCACTGGGTCAGATCTGAAGTCATCACAGCACTGGTTCTTACCCAATTTCGGCTGTAACAACTCCCTGGCTACTGTCTCTGTTCGCTTAAGGCCCTAGGGTTCTACATTCAACGGGTGACAAAGCCAGCATGACTTGTGTTCTTCCCTTCAGGACGGCAAGGTCCTCTTGGCCTAGTGTGGGCCCAGAGGTGCTGTCAGGGATTCAGGTACTACAGTCAAAACCCTTAGAAGTCTACCTGGTGTTCTATTGTATTGTGGCTGAGCTGGCCCTCAAATCACAAGACTTAGTCTTTCCCATTCTTTTTGCCCCTTTGCCAATGCAAAGGAGGCTCACTCCATAGCTGCTGCCACCCTAGGCCACAAGGAGGACTGCCAGACTACTGTTGATGTTCTCTTAAGTCCCAAGGACTCTTTAGTCAGCTTGTCGTTGTTAACCCAAAATATCTGAGACAGGTCTCAGTCAATTTAGAAAGTTTATTTTGCCAAGGCTAAGCATGCGCCTGTGACACAGCTTCAGGAGGTCCTGATGACATGTGCCCAAGGTGATAAGGGCAGAGCTTGGTTTTCTACATTTTAGGGAGACGTGAGACCTCAATCAATATATTTAAGAGGTACATTGGTTCAGTCCAGAAAGGCAGGACAACTTGAAGTAGGGAGGGGACTTCCAGATCATAGCTAGGTAAGAGACAAAGGGTTGCATTCTTTTGAATTTCTGATCAGCCTGTTCAAAGGAGGCAATCAGATATGCATCTATCTAAGTGAGCAGAGAGATGACTTTGAATAGAATGGGAGGCTGGTTGGCCCTATGCAGCTCCCAGCTTGACTTTTCCTTTTAGTTTAATGATTTTGGGGCCCCAAGATTTATTTTCTTTTCACATGGTGAATGGTTCCCTATCCTGCTGTAGCTGAGCTGGTATTCTAAATGCAAGACAAAGTCCTTTCCACTCTTCCCTCTCCTCTCCTCAAGTGGAAGGAAAGGGGTGTCTCTCAGAACCAGGAGCCATGCAGCCTGGGGTTATGGGAGGGGTGATGCCAGCACTCCTTTGGCTGTCCCAGTTGGTCTCTCAGTGTGTCATGCCCATGCCTTCCCCCGCAACCACCCCCAGTCCATGTCTCTGGGCCTAGTTCAGCAGTAGGACTTGCCTAAGTGTTGCAGTCTTTATGGCCTAGATTGCCTTTCAAGGTTACTTAGAGACTGAGAGCACTTTGGCCCTCAGTGGTGAGGTTTGCTGATGGCTCAAGTTTGGACAGCTGGGATTGGGGATTCCCCTCTTACTAGGGCTGGTTTAAATGCGCCCTCTATGGGCAGCTGTAAGACGAGTTTGGTCTGGGATTTGTCTGCTCTAACATGACAGCACTGAGTTCAGTGCCTCACAATTGCTGTGTTCTCCCTCTCCCAGCACCCAGAGATGCTCTCTGACCCACATGCTGCTGTTGCTGCTGGGGGATTGGGGAAGGGTAGCATTAGCAATTCAGGACTTTTTTCTATCTCTTCGGTGTCTCTTTCAGTGATATGAAGTTAAAATTAGATACTATGAGTGCTCACTTGATGTTTGGTTCTTATGAAGGTTTTTTTTCTGTGTAGATAGTTGTTAACTTGCATAGCTTTCTATTCGGCTACCTTGCTTTGCCTTGAGAATGAGGTTTTTTTAAAAGGATTAAAATTTGCCTTTGGGTACACGTGTGAAGTTCTTATTGTATTCAGTACTAACTAAGTTCGCATTTCAGGGAGTAATTTGAACAACTGCATTCGAGGTTATTTAATGAACATTACAATTTGAATTCAAGAACACCAGCATGCCATTTTTGTTACTTTTGTAATTAAGTAAAGTTTAAGTATTTACTACAACCCTTTTGTCTAAAACTATATCTGAAAGTTTAAATTACTATCAAGGTTTATAGTTTATATAGTGCTTTCACATATACTGGCTCATTAAATCTGATCCTTAGAAGTGTCTGTTTTTATAATTTTGTGGTGAAATTTCTAAATTTTTATAAATAAATGGCTGATTACAACAAGGCATGTTTGGAGATCACTTAATCTCATTTAGACTTTTTTTTACTCAATGTTAAATCAGCATCATCCATTGTGATAATGAAGCCGATAATGCTTCTAGGAAGTAATAGTATCTCATGGTCTGCAGCAGTTCTCAGGCTGCAAGGTGTATTCACACACTATCTGAGGTTATTCTCACAACAATCCTATGAGGCAGGTCACCCCATCTGAAATGTAAGTGAGAAAATGGAAATGTAGGCAAGTAAAATGAATTACCTGAGGCCTCACAGTCTATTACAGGCAGAGCCAATTCTTGAATCTAAGTCTTCTGTTGTGCCTCCTCTGGTACATTATCCTCTCTATGCTGTCTCTTGAATGATGGGCTTGAGCAAACAAATTTAATTAGGTGGTGGATTGTTCTATATAGTAAGGGAATTATGGAAAATCTAGTGGTGGGAATTAGGGATAAACAAAGTAGAAGAAGAGAGAAGCACTACACAGGAATTTCACTGTAATTTCTTTAAGGTGCATGTCCTGATAGGAAATACTGCCTTTTAATGATAGTGTCTTCAGAAATACACTAACAAAGATCCCTTGAATGGAGACTCAATTCCACATGCATTTACAGAAAGGTTTTGGGAATCAACAAAAACTTAATAGTTTGAAAGAAAAAGTAAAAGGACTTATAATTCAAGAAAGTGTTTAGAGACAACAGCATAATATTGAAGCATAAAATTTAAGTATAAAACTGGGATCCAGTTACTAGGAAAATATGAATTGTCCCTTGTGTCCAAAATACTATGCTAGGATCTGTGGATGCTTTCAGAAAGATTTTAATCTTATTGTAGAGAAAACATATACACATATAAAAAAGATTATCATTCATTCATTTACTCATCAAATAGTTATCGGGTGTACTCTGTGTCAGGCACTCTTCTAGGTGCTTGGGATACATCTATTAAAAAGAAACAGGCAAAGACCTCTTCCGTTGAAAAAGAGATTATATTCTAGTGTATGGTATTGTGGATGTGGGAAGACAATAAACAATATGCATACCAAAGTAGGAAATTATATTACATGTTAGAAGTGGTAAGTGCTATGGAAAAATAGAGCAAGTAGAGCAAAGTAAGGGTATGGGAGGATTGGAGTCAGTTACAGTTTTAAATAGGATGGGCATTGTAGGCTTCATTAAGTATGTGAGATTTGTTCACAGTCTTGAAAGGGAGAGGAGTTAGGCAAGTAGAATCTGGGGAAAGTGTCTCAAACTGAGAGAACAGTTGGACCAGAAGCCAGGAGCATACCTGGAAGGTTTGAGGAATGTTAAGAAGCCTTCAAGAGTGAATGAGGGGAGAGTGTTCATAATGGAGTAGGAAAGAGATCATAATGGTAATATTGGGGAGTTGGCCACATGGATCCTTTTAGGCCATTTTGAAGACTTTGGTTTTTTCCTGAATGAAATGGATTATTGCAGTGTTTTAAGCAGGAGTATAAGAGGATCTGACTTAGATTTTGAAAGGATTGCTCTGGCTAGGTTGAGAATAGGCTCATATAAGGCAAAGGTAGAAGCAGGATGCTATTGCAGTGAACAATGAGAGAGATGGCAATGGCTTAGACCATAGTGGTAGAGTAGAGGTGATAACAATTGGTCAGAGTCTGGATAGGTTTTGAAGGTAGAACCAACAGCACTTCATGATGAATTAGATGCTGGGTGTGAGAGAAAGAAAAGAGTCACGAACAACTCCAGGAATTTGGCATATACAACTGGGAGGCTGAAGTTTCCTTCATTTAGTTGGGGGGGAAGGTGGAGGTAGAGTAGGTCAGGTGGCAGAGTTCAAGAGTACAGTTGTTTTTTTTTTTTTTTTTTTTTGAGACAGGGTCTTGCTCTGTCATCCAGGCTGGAGTGCAGTGGCATGATCATCGCTAACTGTAGCCTTGAATTCCCGAGCTCAAGCGATCATACTGCCTCAGCCTCCTGAGTAGCTGGGACTACAGGCAAACATCACCATGGCCAGGTAATTTAAATAATTTATTTTTTAGAGACCTGAGTCTCACTATGTTGCCCAGGCTGTTCTTGAACTTCTGGCCTCAAGCGATCCTCCTGCCTTCACCTCCCAAAGTGGTGGGATCACAGGTGTTAGCCACCATGCCCAGCCTATTTTTAAAAATCTCCCTATGTAGATTGTAATATTCTTGATCTCAGATACTATGGTTGATGATCTTTGTATTCTCCATAGGACAGAGCCTTTTGCCCATAGTTGATGGTCAGCAAACATTTGTAGAATAAATATTGAACTAAGAAACTTCTGTGATGAGGTGTGAAGATAAATGTAGTCTTTATGGGATCAGTATGCAAACTATTAGACATAAATTATAAGCATGTTTGAAAAGCTTTCTTCAATTCTTTTCTTTTTCTTTTTAGAGACAGGTTCTTGCTGTGTTGCCCAGGCTGGAGTGCAGTGGCATGATCCATCATAGTTCCTTGCAGCCTTGAACTCCTGGGCTCAAGTTATACTCCTGCCTCAGCCCCCTGAGCAGCTAGGACTACAGGTACATGCCACCATCCCCAGTTAATTATTTTTAATTTTTTTGTGTAGAGAAAGAGGTCTTGCTATTTTGCCCAAGCTGATCTTGAACTCCTGGGCTCAAGTGATTCTCCCACCTCAGCCTCCAAAAGCACTGGGATTACAGGTGTAAACCACCATGCCCAGTGTCTTTTACCTCTTTAAGTAGAGATGTAGAGTAGGCATTAGATATACAAGTTCAGTGCTTGGGATAGATGTCTGGACAGGAGATATATGCTTAGGAGAGGAATGACTGTAAATAGAAAAGAGTAGAGTTTCAAGGACTGAGTCCTGGGTCACACTGGCCTAAAGAGATCAGAGAGAAGAGGAGGAATCAGCAAAGAGCCTGACAAAGAACATCCAGTGAGATAAGAGGAAAAGTAAGAGAGAATTATGTTCTGAAAGCTAATCAAAAACAACATATCCACAATGAGGGAATAATCAGCTGTGTCAAATGCTGTTAATAAGTCACATGAGAATTGGCAATTGGATGTGGCAATGAAAGTCAATGGTAATCTCTATGAGAAAAGTTTTGATAGAGAAGTGGGAATGAAAAGTTTGAGTGGCATGTGTTTAAGAAAGAATAAGAGGAGAGGAAGTGGAGTATCAACAACTCTTTCCAGGGATTTGCTGCAAAGATAGCAAATAACTTAGGGTTGGCAGGAAGTAGTGTGAAAACAGTGGATGTGAGGGGAGGGGGTCATGAGGTTATTTTTTTATCATGGTGGAAGACATAACAGCATATGCTATTAGGAATAATCAAGTAAAAATGAAATTAATGTTGTGTGACAGAAGAGTATTGCTGAAGTGATATTCCTGAATAGGAAAGAGTGGATGGGATCCGATGTACAAGTAGAAGTATCTTCCTTTAGACAGAAGCAAGATTAGTGCATCTACATTAACAGGTGGGAAGGCAGAGTATATAGATGGAGATTCTAGTTGATACAGTATTGGGTCGCTGTGGAAGTCCTCTTCTAATTGTTTCAATTTTCTCAATGAAGTGGGCAACAAGGTCATCATTTCAAAGTGAGGATTGGAAAGGAGGTATTGCTGTGAAATAGCTATCTGGGTAAGTATTAGAGTAAATTATTAAAAAAACTTTAGTATGATTGCCAGGCAACATTAAGTGCCCATTAAGGTCGTGGTCATAAATTCAAAATGGTCAATGTGATTGTGTGTTTTAATTTCACCACGTAAAGCTGTGTCAGTACTGGTGCAAAGTAGGCAAATAATAGTATTTAATTAGAATTGTGGTTTTGCTAAGCAGTATGAGTATAACAAAGCAAGAGGGGCAGAAGAATTGAGGGTTTATGCAAAAGGTGATGTAGTGAATGAGAATACATTTTAAATCATTTAGGTAGAAAGAAGATATCAAGGAGGTGAGAGGCAGTGATGGTATTTTCAATGAACTGGAATTCCAAGAAGGGGCCAAAGGATTGTTGGAGTACTAGAAGGAATGAATAAAAGAGATATTGGTGGTCAGAGAGTAGGATGCACCAAATTAAGAATATGGAAGAGTTGCAGTTATTGGTAATTAAAAAGGTTAGGATATGGGCTTGAGTGACTGAAGCGCAGAGGACAAGACCCTTGGAGGAGAGGAGGTCAAGAAACTGAAAGGCTAGAGTGTTGGTAATATCCTCCACGTGTGCATTGTTTATTGAAGTTGCTAAGGATTAAGAGAGGGTCAATGTATCTAAAATTTTGTACTATATATAATAATACTATCAGATTTTACGTTGTTAAACAATGATTCTTAATTTCTAAAATTTAAAAATTAAAGTTGTTGGAATTAAGAACTCTGAGAACTTGACTGAAGGTATTGTTTTCAAACTAATCCACATTCACCATGATATGAAGGTTTGAATATTTATGCTAATAATCTCTGATTTGTCATGGGCATGCTGTGCTTCAGTGAAGCTGTCTGAAGAATATTGTGAAAATAACATTTTCCAAATAATTGAATATATTTGCTTTACATCATTTAGTGTTAACATTATTTTCCAATGGAAGACTGTAATTTATTATAAACTGATTTCATACTGGCAATGTTATTGGTGTGTTTGTTGATCTTATTAGTACGTCATATATTCAGGAAGAGTAAATTAAGTTCTCACTCTTGTTTTAGCACATTACTATTTTAAAGTTTTTGGTTTTAATTTTCGTGGCTACATATTAGGTGTGTAATGGGGTACATGAGGCATTTTGATACAGGCGTACAATGGATAATAATCACATCAGAGTAAATGGGGTATCCATCACCTCAAGCATATGTCCTTTCTTTGTGTTACAAATAATCCGATTATACTTTCTTAGTTAATCTGAAATGTACAATAAATTATTGTTGACTGTAGTCACCCTGTGGCAGCACATAACTATCTTATAAAGAGTACTACAAATCTGTTAGATACAGTGAAGAACTTAGAAATAGTCATGATCCTTTACTCATAGATGCTTCATAATGCATTCAAAGTGGCAGAAACCAAATCAGTATATATTTTTGACACCTGCTGTTTTCTGAGTCATTCATTATTAACCTCACATGGAAGCTACTTAAACAGCTCTTGCTGTAGTCACCACTTCTCACAGCTAGTCTTTGACTACTCTTGGGATTTCTGTGACCTTAGAGGTTTGGTGATGAAGAAATAGTTAAGCTTTAAATCAGGTTCTCATGTGAAATCATTGCAGAGCAAAGTTGAGAAGTTGGCTATCTCAATCTTGACTCCTTGCTGATTACCTAGGAAACAAATTTTCTCTGGTGGGGCTTGTCCAGTCATTCACCTGGCATCTTAATAGAGTATTTGGAAAGGAGGTTTTGGTCAGCATTTGCAGACTCCCATTAGATCCTATCACTGATTCTGAGTGAATTTTAATTTCTGCAGCTGGAGAATAGTGAGGGAAGCCATATGTAGTAACATCTGCTATTAAGACTCTTGTTTAGGGAGAAAGAAGGCAGTTTTATTGTTAAAATTTTAGTTTTGTGGGATTGATTTAAGAAATCTTGTTTCCCTTCTTTATCTAGCATTGAAAAGCGATATATGTATGCACTAAACACGGGGTTATCTCAATCAGGATAGGTTGTCCTAAGTGTTGTAGAAAGACTGTTTGAGGCACTATGACCCTGACCTCTACTATACAAAAGCAAAGTAAAACAAACAAACAAACAAAAAAACAAAGTACTCATCCTTCCTGATATTTGAAATCCGATGACATTAGAACTTCAAATGAATATTTTATCAAGGAAGAATCATTGGCAGGTTTGTTAAAACTGAATGGAAGTGCACTGATGTAATTGCCTGAGGAAACTGTTATCAGAAAATGTGAGGTTGTGATTCCTTTCTAGGAGTAATTGCCCTACTCAAGCTTTTGCTCAGAACAACCATCTTTAAAGATCTAGCTGAAGTCTTATCTTCTCTATCAAGACTTCTCTCATGGTGCGTGGTTGATCCCTTGCTTCTGTGAACTTTTATCTGCAGACAGCCTATCTCTTTTTTTGTATAAATTGTTAGGATTTAAAGTGTTTATGTTTTCTCTCTCCGAAAACTAGCTTGTAAATTCTTCAACTTCAGGAACAGTTTGATATGTCATTTTATCATTCACAGTGCCAAACATAGTACATGGATGTAAGTACTGAAAATGCTTTCAGTTTGTTGGTTTGACAGTGTAACTATGATTTATTATAATTAAATGTATTTATTCTGGGAAGTGTTCATATTTTAAGAAAATCTATTGCTATACTTTAAGGGTATGTCAGAATAACATACCCCTAAATAGAAGCCTAGAAAATTACTGTTTTGTCTCAGGCACAGTTGTTCTGATATTAATGCTTTCTACTTTCTAGATGTATGACCATCTAAGCCTCAGTTTTTTCATCTAAAAATGGGAATAATATTAGCTACATAAATCATGAGGTTTTTAAGATTAATAAGCCTCATGTACATAAAGTGCTTGACACAATAAGATCATAGAACATTAGCTCTTATTTCTGAAATTGGTGCTCACACCAAGAAATGTGAACACACACATATATGTACATTCATAACACAAGAAAAAGAGCAAATTGCAGAATAAAATGAAACAGTTTTCAGAAATGTTTGCAACCAAGACTAAATTAACTGGTTGACTGAATGACACTGTGTGCACTTCATTTTCTAGGAAATTCTTGTATGTTGACTTTCTAGGCTGATATGGCAGCTGGTAGGCCATTTATTACTAGTTCTGTTGTGGAAAATTCAGTCTTGTGTGTCATTTAGAGTTTGTGACACATGTACCCTCCCAAGGCTTAATGAGTTGTCTGCAGATGGACCGTTATTTATTACAGTCATGTAGAATAAAATTGATTGTCTTCTAAAATTAATTTTTCATTTGCCTCCAGCCTTGCTTTAATAGGGCACACACAGTTGCCTGTTTGCAGAAATACTGTTTAATCACATTAATATCTCAGCCCCCCAGGCTGAAGAAGATAGTTGTATGAACGAACAGCAAAATCTGTATCTTTACCTTCTTTTTATGATTAAATTATGCAAATAACTTATCTCCTGCCCTTCTAAGCACTAATCATCTAATTAGGAATGATGTGTTAAAGCAATGGTTTTGAATCAGGAGAGAGAAGAATGCAGGAAGCAGAAAATGGGAGCTAACAATGAAACCACTGAAGGTACAGTAATGTGTAGTAGATGAATCTATGTATTTGACACAAGAAGAGGTGGGAAGGCTAATACGTACTATCCATATACCTGACACATGTCATCTATTGGCAGGAAATATAATTCCTTATCTCTGATGACAAGTTTTTTGATATTAACTTCACATTTTTAGTAAGGCAAATGTTATATTTCCTGCATTTTTGAGCACTCAAGGAAAGTAGGATATTTATTATCTCACCCAATGAAGGAGCTGGCTTGCTCTTTTAATCCATGCAGGATAATATACGGTAAAGCAATGAGATTGCACCTTGATTGTGAACATACACTAAGTTGTTCAGACTATTCCTTTAAAGAAAAGATTGCTTAACGAAAAGCAGTCCTTTCTTTTTTCCTGAGAAATTAATCAGTCAGGACATGCAAACCCAGAACAAATATAGTCCCCTTACTGAGGGATTCAGGATTCAGTTCCAAAGCATCATTCCAAATATGTATTTGCAAGATCTTGCCTTGATTTTGTGCTTCTGCCTCCAGACACTGATTGTGAAGAGTTTTTAGCACATTAGTCCTATTTAGTTGCGGACATAATTATTACATTTAATACATATATTGTGTCTTTATCCAACATAATTATTATATTAATAGTAACCATAATAATGATAAACAATACTATTAATGTCCCCTAGCAACCATGCTAAACCGTATATATATATATATATATATATATATATATGGTTCTTATAGTAATGTGAAATAAATCATGATAAATCAGTAAATCAGGCCATAGAAATAATATAAGTTTACTGTAGATGTTTTAGAACCTCTCAAAATTTTTTCTTATGGGTACATTTGTGAGAGTCAGCAATCATAATGTTCAGGTCCTTTTAATATAGTCTTATTGATTTGAATTCAGTGCTTTAACATTTTTACAGTCAACTCTGGAGTATTTTAAAAAATATAATGCAAACCATCTCCCGAGGCATTTGAGAACAAAATTTCAAGAAATGTATCCAAAATAGAACATAAACAAAAATTTGTGGATTGGAACAGATAAATTTTCTCAAGTTCTTGAGACCAGTGCTGTCATTCTCTTAGTATTGCTAGTTTAGCTTATTCTCTTACATGTGCTGGTTCAGGCCACTAAGAAGACCCACTGATCACCACCAGCTGCTATTCTCTTGAAGTGTGGCAGACGCTTACTATATTGATGCCAGCTGGTTACAGTCATTTGTTTTACATCTTTTCTTTTTTAAGGGTAGGCATCAAACTACAGTCTATCTGTGTTTACAGGGAAAAATGCTTAATCTATTTATTTTGATAATCGAAGCCAATGAGTCTAACGTATTGAACTTTCCAAGGTTGACTTTCTGAAAATTGTTCTGGAGAATTTTTGGCACATGCATTCCTGTGGAGGATAGTTTTTTATAGATTTCTACAGTGAAGACAACATTGCCTCCATGGTTGCACCAAATTCCAAAGGGCCAAGTTAGCGTGTGGAAGTGAAGGGTGAGTCCCTTAGAACTTATTCCATTGCTACCTCATGAAGCTTTATCTCACTTTTCTCAAACTAACATGATTATTACATTTCCCCAAACATAGATGGTGCATTATCATGTCATATGATTAAAAAAACCCCTAAAGAACTGGCTATGTCCCTGTTAGATGTCATATGTCTGACTGTCTATCTATCTATCTATCTATCTATCTATCTATCTATTTTTCAAATTATACTTTAAGTTCTGGGATACATGTGCAGAACGTGAAGGTTTGTTACATAGGTCTACACATGCCATGGTGGTTTGCTGCACCCATCAACCCGTCATCTACATTAGGTATTTCTCCTAATGCTATCTCTCCCCTAGCCTCCCAACCCCCGACAGGCCCTGGTGTGTGATGTTCTCCTCCCTGTGTTCATGTGTTCTCATTGTTCAACTCCCATTTATGAGTGAAAACATGCGATGTTTGGTTTTCTGTTCCTGTGTTAGTTTGCTGAGAATGACGGTTTCCTTCTTCGTTCATGTCCCTGAAAAGGACGTGAACTCATCCTTTTTTATGGCTGCATAGTATTCCATGGTGTATATGTGCCACATTTTCTTTATCCAGTCTATCATTGATGGGCATTTGGGTTGGTTCCAAGTCTTTGCTATTGTGAACAGTGCCGCAATAAACATACGTGTGCATGTGTCTATATAGTAGAGTGATTTATAATCCTTGGGGTATATACCCAGTAATGGGATTGCTGGGTCAAATGGTATTTCTGGTTCTAGATTCTTGAGGAATCACCACACTGTCTTCCACAATGGTTGAATTCATTTACACTCCCACCAACAGTGTAAAAATGTTCTATTTTTCCACATCCTCTCCAGCATCTGTTGTTTTCTGACTTTGTAATGGTCACCATTCTAACTGGTGTGAGATGGTATCTCATTGTGGTTTTGATTTGCATTTCTCTAATGACCAGTGATGATGAGCTTTTTTTCATATGTTCATTGGCCTCATAAATGTCTTCTTTTAAGAAGTGTCTGTTCATGTCCTTCACCCACTTTTTGATGGGGTTGTTTGTTTTTTTCTTGCAAATTTGTTTAAGTTCCTTGTAGATTCTGGATATTAGCTCTTTGTCAGATGGACAGATTGCAAAAATTTTCTCCCATTCTGTAGGTTGCCTGTTCACTCTGATGATCATTTCTTTGGCTGTGCAGAAGGTCTTTAGTTTAATTAGATCCAGTTTGTCAATTTTGGCTTTTGTTGCCATTGCTTTTGGTGTTTTAGTCATGAAGTCTTTGCCCATGCCTATGTCCTGAATGGTATTGCCTAGGTTTTCTTATAGGATTTTTATGGTTTTAGGTTTTACATTTAAGTCTTTAATCCATCTTGAGTTAATTTTTGTATAAGGTGTAAGGAAGGGGTCCAGTTTCAGTTTTCTGCATATGGCTAGCCAGTTTTCCCAACACCATTTATTAAGTAGGGAATCCTTTCCCCATTGCTTGTTTTTGTCAGGTTTGTCAAAGATCAGATGGCTGTAGATGTGTGGCATTATTTCTGAGGCCTCTGTTCTGTTCCGTTGGTCTACATATCTGTTTTGGTACCAGTACCATGCTGTCTTGGCCTTGTAGTATAGTTTGAAGTCAGGTAGCGTGATGCTTCCAGCTTTGTTCTTTTTGCTTCAAATTTTCTTGGCTATACGGGCTCATTTTTGGTTCCATATGAAATTTAAAGTAGTTTTTCCTAATTCTGTGAAGAAAGTCATTGGTAGCTTGATGGGGTAGCATTGAATCTATAAATTACTTTGGTCAGTATGGCCATTTTCACGATATTGATACTTTCTATCCATGAGATGGAATGTTTTTCCATTTGTTTGTGTCCTCTTTTATTTCATTGAGCAGTGGTTTGTAGTTCTCCTAGAAGAGGTCGTCTGCATGCCTTATAAGTTGTATTCCTAGATATTTTATTCTTTTTGTAGCAATTGTGAATGGGAGTTCACTCATGACTTGGTTCTTTGTTTCTCTATTATTGGTGTATAGGAATACCTGTGATTTTTGCACATTGTGATTTTGTATCCTGAGACTTTGCTGAAGTTGCTTATCAGCTTAAGGAGATTTGGGGCTGAGATGATGGGGTTTTCTAAATGTACAATCATGTCATCTGCAAACAGAGACAATTTGACTTCTTCTCTTCCTATTTGAATCCCCTTTATTTCTTTCTCTTGCCTGATTGCCCTGGCCACAACTTCCAATACTATGTTGATAGGAGTGGTGAGAGAGGGCATCCTTGACTTGTGCTGGTTTTCAAAGGGAATGCTTCCAGCTTTTGCCCATTCAGTGTGATATTGGCTGTGGGTTTGTCATAAATAGCTCTTATTATTTTGAGATACGTTGTGAATACCTAATTTATTGAGAGTGTTTAGCATGACAGTGTGTTGAATTTTATCAAAGGCCTTTTCTGCATCTACTAAGATAATCATGTGGTTTTTGTCATTGGTTCTGTTTATGTGATGGATTACATTTATTAATTTGCATATGTTGAACCAGCCTTGCATCCCAGGGATGAAGCTGACTTGATTGTGGTGGATAAGCTTTTGGATGTGCTGCTGGATTCGGTTTGACGGTATTTTATTGAGGATTTTTGCATTGGTGTTCATCAGGGATATTGGCCTGAAATTTTCCTTTTTTGTTGTGTCTCTGCCGGGTTTTGGTATCAGGATGATGCTGGCCTCATAAAATGAATTAGGGAGGAGTCCCTCTTTTTCTATTGTTTGGAATAGTTTCAGAAGGAATGGTACCAGCTCCTCTTTGTACCTCTGGTATAATTCGGGTGTGAATCCGTCCGGTCTTGGGCTTTTTTTGGTTGGTAGGCTATTAATTACTGCCTCAATTTCAGAACTTGTTATTGCTCTGTTCAAGGATTTGACTTCTTCCTGGTTTAGACTTGGGAGGGTGTATGTGTCCAGGAATTTATCTATTTCTTCTGGATTTTCCAGTTTATTTGCATGGAGGTGTTTATAATAGTCTCTGATGGTAGTTTGTATTTCTGTGGGATCAGTGGTGATATCCCTTTTATCATTTTTTATTGTGTCTATTAGATTTTTCTCTATTTTCTTCTTTATTAGTCTGGCTAGCAGTGTATCTATTTTGTTAATCTTTTCAAAAAACCAGCTCCTGGATTCATTGATTTTTGAAGGGTTTTTCATGTTTCTATCTCCTTCAGTTCTGCTTTTATCTTGTTATTTCTAGTCTTCTGATTTTTTTTTTTTTTTGATAGAGTTTCGCTCTGTTGCCCAGGCTGCAGTGCAGTGGTGTGATCTTGGCTCGCTGCAACTTCCGCCTCCCAGGTTCAAGGGATTCTTGTGCCTCAGCCTCCCGAGTAGCTGGAATTACAGGTACATGCCACCATGCCTGGCTAATTTTTGTATTTTTTGGTAGAGACAGGGTTTCACCGTGTTGGCCGGGCTGGTCTTGAACTGTTGGCCTCAAGTGATCTGCCCACCTCGACCTCCCAAAGTGCTAGGATTACAGGAGACATCCTTTTGTTTTTAAAGGAGCCAAAGAAGAGTTTGAATATATGGGAATAGTAGTAATCAATTTTATAAACTCTGGCTTTAATAAGTTTTCCACAACATGTCATTTGTACATGGTGATAGAACTTGATATACAAACTCATTTTTCTTACTTTATAATGGTAAAATGAATATTTTTATTATTTATTATTTACACAAAATATTTTAAAAGATCTGTGTTAATTGGTTGAGATAGTCCCCAGATCTCTGATTCAGTTACACCATCGAGTGCTACCAATATCACTTGAGTTCTTAAAGCACTTCTACAGAATCTGAGGGCTACCGGACACAGATTTTAAAACACAACATGGAACAATTAAGTGCTTTATAAGTATTATCAAGAAAGTTGGACAATAATTTGAATCTTTTTTTTTCTTTATTCAAAGGCTAGAATAAAGGATACATAAAACAATCTGATTATCCATCAAATAGGGGATTAGGTACCCTTTATGCAAGAGGCTTATCTTCTCTGAGAATTGAAAACAAACTCAGAGAAATATATCATCTGTTGTTGCATTATAGGTAGAATTATGGCATCACTTTCTTAAAATTCCAAATTTTTACTGTTGAACTTTTAATATACTTCCAAAGGACTTAGTGGAACAGGAAATATGGAATATTAACCTGCACCTGTTTTATCTTTCTCTTTAATAATAGGGAATGGTGAGTGATCTTTTGAAAAACCTAAGGTTATCATGCATATTTGGCAACTTGCATACGTCAAATCTTGTAAATGATCCAGTGGCAACAATATATGCCTATCTGTAGGCAAGGTTCTCAGTTTCTTCAGAATATAGGGCAGCAAAGAAATAGCTTTGCTCAGTTCTCTTATTCCTGTTACTTTTGCTTTTCTCCAGCCCTTTATTCCATGTAGGGGTAGGGAATCTTAATGAGATGGGACAGGGGCTAACTTCAGGCTGTAATTTCTAGGTAATTAGTTTAAGAGGTTGAGGCAGGAGAAGAATATGCCTTTTAGTTTGCTAAAGGGTCTGATTCCTTACCCTATACATGCTTTACCTTCTGGCCTACTCAGTTCTCTGGAATCTTACTGTTAGTTAATATCAGTTTGCTGGTAGTGATTTTTCTGTCTTTTTTGTAGATGCTTTTGAAGTTTACTCATTTTCTAGTAAACTATCTAGAGTGACATTTATTAAATATAGGCATTATGTAGCCTTTCATACATGATTCATATATAATGGTTACCAAATAAATGTTAAATAATTTTCTAACATTATTTAGTTTAAAAACCTGATTTATTACATTGTATTCGTTACTGTGTCTATAACTAAACATAGACATGGCTTTTATACTGAAATGAAAATCTGTAAAATTCTCAGAAAAATAGAAGCCTGCCATCTTTATATAGGGTTTAAAGTTATAATAATAATTTCTATTGAGCATCATTAATGCCCAGACACTGTAGCTGGGACTTTCCATTCATTGCTCAATTTAGTCCTCACAAAACCTTACAAGTTATTTATTGCTAGTATCTTTTTATAGTTGAGAAAACTGAACCTCAGGGAAATTAGGTAAATTGCCCATGCAGAGCCAGGAATTCTCTGACACCAAACTGATGCTCTTTCTACTGTAAAATCCTATACTAACCAAACTAATATGTTTACTAAAAATCTATACATTAAGCCATCATTGGATTGGGCTTTAGGAAAGGATATTTGAGATAACAACATAAAATTAAAATTATGTACTTCAGGGAAGAATATAGTACACATCTTGAACATGGGTATAAACGTTTGCATTTCAGGGAGATGATAGTATTGGCAAATGCCAGTTTTCTTCAGATCTACTTTCATCAGACTCTGACTATAAAATGAAATAGTGATTGTCATATTGTATAATGAATATGAATTTATTTTGAAAGTCACTTATTTATTGAACTTATCAATAAACATTCCAAAAATGAAGAATATTATTTCAGGGGAAATAGAATCATTGAGCCTACCATTGTTCTGTTTCCCTTGTCTACTGCCTTTAAATGATAAAATGGAGTTTTGAAGACAGGTAGTAACAATCCTCTAAAAAATAATTAAGGCTGTTGAATGTTAAGTAGGACGTTTATAAAGAGCTATAAAGTGGAAAAAGTCTTACATCTCGGCTGCACAGGATTTAATTATGCAAAATGCTGTGAATTCAAGGAGAATGAGAGATGAGTTTTCACATAATATTGCAAGAGAAGTACATTGGAAAAAGAAAGGAGTAATGAGAATCCATACAAGCTGGGGTCCAGACCCCAGACAAAGGTATACAATATGTCAATCAATTAACATTTTTCTAATAATAGTGGTGATCTAAATTTTAGGCCATATGTGGACTTTCTTCTTTATACATATATTTTCATGACACCTTTGTCAGGTTGGTACTATTTCATTTTGCAGATGGAGAAACCTAGTCTCATAATAACTAAATGTCTTATTAAAGTCAAATTGGCAATTTGGGTAGAAAAGAAACGGGAATTTATTTACTTTGAGTCTTCTAGTCATTGGATAATGTTTCCTATAATATTATTTTATTGCCATATAACTCAGTTTTCTTTGTGATCTTGAAATAGCTTAACAGTAGTTAATGAAGTATTACAGATATATAGGATGACAAAATTTAATGAGAGATATTATATGAGTGGAGTGAGATAGATATTTAACTGGATATTGAGAAAATATGGTTAGAGGTGTCACCTACTTGAAGATTATAATTGAACGCCACCAGAGGAAATTGTTAGCACGGCACAAACCACTATTAGAGTGCACAGAGAAAGGTTTAGATATAATCTCTATTTCAATAACTTATTTTATAATATAGAAACTGTAATATATTTTAGTTGAGCTATAATTTCTATTCAATAATTACAAATAAGGTAGCTTGCTATCTGACTTAGTTTTTTTTTTTTTTTTTCGAGATGGAGTCTCACTCTGTCACCCAGGCTAGAGGACAGTGGTGGGATCCCAGCTCACTGCAACCTCTGCCTCCCAGATTCAAGTGATCCTCGTGTCTCAGTCTCATGAGTAGCTGGGGGTACAGGTGTGTGCCACCACGCCCAGCTAATGTTTGTATTTTTGAATTTTTAGTAGAGACAGGGTTTCGCCGTGTTGGCCAGGCTGGTCTCAAATTCCTGGCCTCAAGTGATCTGCCCACCTTAGCCTCCCAAAGCGCTGAGATTACAGGCCTGAGCCATCAAGCCCAGCCCTGACTTAGATTTTATTTTTTTAAACACTTCTACAAAACTTTTCCTCCAATTTGAGACTATGAAGGTACCAGAATGTATCTAAGTCTGAGATTCCACTATAAGAAAGGAGGAACCTCTAGGACATAGAATGTCAGAAGGATAGTAATAAGGTTAGAAGAAAGATATAAAAAGACATAGGATAAAGGAAATAATAATGAAATCTTAGACTTGATTTATTGCCATATACTTTTATAATAGTTTGTAGAGAACTACTGGTCCTATCTTCCAGTGACTACTGATGTGGAAATGGTACACCAGTAATGAAGGAGGTTATTTTATTGATCGGATAGCCTCTTTAACCCCTAAGAAAGTGAGCTTTAAAAACTTCATGTGGTCTGACATATCTGTACAATTGATGAAAGGAACGCCAAGTAGCAATTGCCAAATAACAATTCCAGGACAGCCAACCTCTGCTAATGATGTAACTGGCAGGAGTCTCTAAGACCATTTTCTTTTCACTGGTCCCCAGTCTAATTGCTGTAAATTAAAAACTAAGGGAAGATAGAGACGATAGTAGTTGAAACTCAGGGTGAATTAGCAGCTGGGAAAAGTTGTGCTGCCCTCTACTCCTAACCTTTGGTCTAGTTACAGGCAAGGAGGTGTTCTCTGTTGAGGCTTTGGATAAAGTATTTATTGGTGGCTAGACCACCGATCTTATCAAATAGGGTGTTTGATATCAGTTGTTATCTTTAAAAAATGATGTGCCCTGTGGTTGGCTCCTCAAAGTTGTACTAATCCCTGGAAGCTGTGAATATTACCTTACATGATAAAAAGAATTTTGCTGATGTGATTAAGGTTAAGGACTTTAATATGAAAGATTATCTCAGATTTTCCATGTTGACCCAATATGATCAAAAGGGGCCTTTTAAGACCAAACTAGGAGGGACAGAGTCAGTAGCAGGAGATGTGACAATGGAAGCAAGAGGTTGGAGTGATGCAAGGAAGGGGCCATTAGCCAAGGAATGCAGAGAAGGACTCTACAAACTGAAAAATGTAAGGGAACAGATTCTCCCCGAAAGGAACCATCCTTGTTGACACCTTGAGTTTAGACTTGAGTTTAGATTTCTGCCCTCCAGCACTGTAAGAGAAAAAGTTTGTGGTATTTTAAGCCACTAAGTTTGTGGTAATTTATTTCATCAGCAATAGGAAAACAACACATACCTTAAGCCCCATTTTCCCTCCACAGCATCTAGCACATGACTGAACACATGGTAGACAGTCAACATTTATTCATTGAAGATCTTACCAGAAAAGCTAGTAAAAGATTAATTCGAAGTGACTCAGTATTTATATAGAGAATATCTATATAATCAATGGACAGTTGTTGGAAAGGATTTGGAAATGCTTTAAAATTTCTATAAAATGCTTGAATTTGTCTTGAGCAGATTAAGGACCAAGGTAGCTAAATTGTATGCAAAGCACTATAGGTCTCCATATTTAGAAAGTGTGGGTAGTTAGTAGTCCTTAGAAAATTTGACATTGTATGTTATTTTTCAGCTCTAGCAGAAATATCTTGAGTGCAGTAGGCCATCCACATTACTGTTTGTATCACTGGAATTCAAATCTAATTATAATAAGTAGGAAGAAGATAGTTTGGTGTGTTTGGGGGTGTTTGGTTACATTCACCTTCATCAACCGTGTCAGTGAACAAATGTAATTAATTTAATTGTTTAAGACTCCATCATATTGATAGGTTCAAATAATGGACAAGAGCATATGCAGATAGGCATGTTTAAAATAATAGCCTACATGGTGCTATAATAGCCTCAGAATGAGTTATATAAAGTAGCGTGTTTGTTAGTTTAAGTTGAAGGCCCTGAAGTAGGGTGCATTTGTTACTAAGTGAGTAGCTAAACCAAAATAATATAAATAATACCTTTTCTTAGGCTATGGTACAAAAATTGACTGTAAAAATATTATATAAGTTGTAGCTGATTAGTAATAAACAAGATATTAAAATAGAAAATACTCATTTTAATGTCTTTCTGGTATTGAAACATCTTAAAAATGAAATTTATCATCTTGTCATTACCAGATGGCCACTCTTTTTCCTTTTTTGAGCTTGTTAATAGTGTCATGTAATCTTATAATAATTTTTTTTACAACTTCACTTCCTGGCTGGGCACGGTGGCTCAAGTCTGTAATCCCAGCACTTTGGGAGGCTGAGGTGGGCAGATCACTTGAGGTCAGGAGTTTGGGACCAGCCTGGCCAACATGGTGAAACCCCGTCTCTACTAAAAATACAAAAATTAGCCAGGCGTGGTGGCATGTGCCTGTAATCCCAGCTACTTGGGAGGTTGAGGCATGAAAATCACTTGAACCTGGGAGGTAGAGGCTGCACTGAGCCAAGATCATGCCACTGCACTCCAGCCTGGGCGATAGAGTGAGACTCCATCTAAAAAAAAAAAAAAGTAAAATAAAAACTTCATTTCTTTTGTCTTTTATATGTAAACTGTAATACTAAATCCTGCTAATTCTTACTTGTTAATGTCTCTGAGACTGTCCCCTTTGTACTCTCATCCAATTCTCTACAATTTTGTTCTTTTCGTGGTTACAGAAACTTCTATACTAATTCCTCCTGCTTTTCATCTGTCGCATATTCCTATTTCACTACTCATTTCTCTCTATCAGGGATGCTTTTCAGCAGACGTTTTAATCTACTTCAATTTTCCTGAATCAAGGTGTGTTCTTTCTTGGAACGCCTTCTTCATTCATTTCCACTAATGCATATCTCTTACTCCTTCAACATGAACAGACACTTTTCAAAAGAAGACAAACACGTGGCCAACAAGCATATGAAAAAATGCTCAATGTTACTTATCATTAGAGAAATGCAAATCAAAATCTCAATGAGACCATCTCATATCAGTCAAAATTGCTATTATTAAAAAGTAAAAGGCCAGGCGCGGTGGCTCACGCCTGTAATCCCAGCACTTTGGGAGGCCAAGGTGGGTGGATCACCTGAGGTCGGGAGTTCAAGACCAGCCTGACCAACATGGAGAAACCCCATCTCTACTAAAAATACAAAATTAGCTGGGCGTGGTGGCTCATGCCTGTAATCCCAGCTACTCGGGAAGCTGAAGCAGGAGAATCACTTGAACCCGGGAGGTGGAGTTTGTGGTGAGCTGAGATTGCACCATTGCACTCCAGCCTGGGCAACAAGGGCAAAACTTCATCTCAAAAATAAATAAATAAATAAATAAAATAAAAAGCAGATGCTAGCAAGGTTGTGGAGAAAAGAGAACACTAATACACTGTTCATGGGAATGTAAATTAGTTCAGCCATTGTGGAAAGCAGTTTGGTGATTTCTCAAATAACTTAAAACAGAACTGCCATTTGACCCAGCAATCCCATTCTTGGGTATATACTCAAAGCAATATAAATCATTCTACCCTAAAGACACATGCACGTGTATGTTCATTCCAGCACCATTCATAATAGCAAAGATACAGAATCAACTTCAATGCCAATCAACGGTGGACTGGATAAAGAAAATGTGGTATATATACACCATGGAATACTACACTGCCATTAAAATGAACAAGACCATGTCCTTTGCAGCAACATGATGAAGCTGGAGGCCATTAATCTATTAGAACTAACACAAGGACAGAAAACCAAATACTGCATGTTCTCACTTATAAGTGGGAGCTAAGCCTCAAGTATATATAGACACAAAGAAGGGAACAACAGACATTGGGGCCCAGTGTAGGGTAGCGGGTGGGAGGAGAGTGAGGACTGAAAAACTGCCTATAAGGTACTATACTTATTATGTGGGTGACAAAATCTGTACACCAAACCCCTGTGACCTGCAATTTACCTATATAACAAATGTGCATGTGTACCCCTGAACCTAAAATAAAAGTTAAGAAGAAAACTAATTCAAAACTTTTTCTAGCCGCGGTGGCTCCCAGGTGTAAGCCTAGCACTTTGGGAGGCTGAGACGGGCGGATCACTTGAGGTCAGGAGTTTGAGACCAGTCTGGCCAACGTAATGAAACCCTGTCTCTACTAAAAATACAAAAATTAGCCGAACGTGGTAGCGGGAACCTGTAATCCCAGCCACTTGGGAAGCTGAGGCAGGATAATTGCTTGAACCCAAGAGGCGGAGGTTTCAGTGAGCCGAGATTGCGCCACTGCACTCCAGATTGGGTGACAGAGCGAGACTCCATCTCAAAAAACAAACAAACAAACCTTAAAAAATCTTTACTGATTAGTCTTATTCAACTTTAGTTCCTCTTTATTCTTATTGTGTTTCCCTGCATCTACTGATTCTCTGACTTGTGCTTGGTAGGTGAGGCAATGTTGGTTCATATGCACTCTGTCACTCTTGTTAGGTGCAGGCCTTATCTCTGTCGATGTCCCAGATGTGTATACTATCTGTTCGGTGTTCTTCAATGCAGATTCAGCTTTATACACAGGCAAGTTTCACAGAACAAAGGTCAAAAGCCATAGCTAAAGAAAATGGCATTTTGTGCTTGTGACTGCTGTTTTCTAGGTTATTACCTCCTTGAAATCAGTAACAAGCCTTGTTTGTTTTGATTCTTCCACAAAACAGTTCCTTACAAATAACAGGTGCTCAATCAGTATTGAGCTTGACTGAAACATTATAATTAATTTTCTATTAAATATTAAATCATGCAAATAGCTGCTTTTAACTTTAACTATTCAATCTATTTGCAATTAGCATGACTTTAGTGTATGTGTATGTGTATGTGTGTAGCCTAACATAGGGCCAGCTACATAGTGAATGTTTAGTTGATGGCAATTAACAACAGTAATATTTGAAAAAGATCCAGTCTTCCTTTACAAATATGCAATAGAGATTTGGGGCATTGTTGCTATAAATTGTTAACTTGGTTAACTCTATGTAACCGTCTAAAATAAATTTAACAAGTAGTGTTCACTAATGTATTTAGGATTAGAACAGGAATAGTCAATTGCCAGTAAGTAAATGATCTACTCCTGTTTCCTATCTTCAAGGAATACTGTGGGGTAATCAAAGTGTGCACACATGAAATAACAAAATAACATAATTACTTGTTCCACAACTTGTGACACAAAATCTTAAGTTCTGTAGAAGTTTAGAAAAGGAAGGGATGTCATCGTTTTCAGGTTTTTTGTTTAAAGTAAGTCTGCTTTTTATTTATTTTGGAATGATTTGGAGAATCACAGCCTCCTTATCCTTACACATTTAAACTGTATACACTATTTGCAAGAATTTTGCTTTTCTTTTTTTATGCAGTATAGTGCCCTCTGGTGAATGTTCATTCCTGCATAAGAATTCTATTTCACTTATTAATTTTGTAAAATTAATTATTGTATGAAACATAACTAGAATATAAATTCTATTTACTTATTAGTTTCTAGAAAATAGTGACATGTTGAATTAGAGAAAGATAATGTTCTAGTTTATAATTAAAAATTTTAATTGATTGTAACTTAAGCCCATGCAGTTTTCTTTTAGTAGGTGTAAGGAAAATTTTCCTGCCTTCTTTCTGCAGTTACTTTCCTTTGTGAGAAGTAGATTATCTCTGTGTTTATTAATAGTGTTGTCAGTTGCTATTTTTGCATTTCTTAAAGATAAGCAGGTTTTACTTAAACTGATGCCTCAATGAAATACAACAAAGTCAAGGGCATTATTCTGAAGGGGAAACCATTTGAACTGTAGGCTCAAATATCCCAGGTCAAACTGGGCTGCATTAATTTTTCCCCTTATTTAAATCATGAATTATCTCTTAACCCTTTATTAACAACATGCTTACTTAATGAGATAGCATCTAGTTTTTCTGGACATAACTGAAAGCTAGTGTTTAAAATGGTTTGTAACAGTATAGTGAGTCAGGGCAAATAGCTGTTTTAGTTAGATATATTTTAAGATTTTGAATACAGACTATGACTTCAGTCCAATTCTTGACTTTTCTCAAGAAGTAAACTAAACTTCACCAAAACAAAAAGGTGAGTATCTTAAAAGAACAGTAATTGCCCTTACCAATTTTTAAGTTCTAGGTACTAAGAACTCTTTCAGATAGTAACAAGACAACTAACTGCAGGTTTAATCTGCTATTTGTGAATGACTCTATTGTTTCTTTTAGAGACCTGATTATGGCACTTATAAAGACATTAACATATATATTATATATATTTATATTTATTTATTTATTTTTAAGTGGACCTAAGTTGAAGGGAATATATATTGAATTCTGCTAATTATTCACGTCAACTCTGCTGTTCACATCATGTTGATATGATCTTCCTTTCCCACTAGTAACCTCTCTATATATATCACTCAAAACTCTCTTCTGAACTGACAGATTGATGGAAATATTTTTAATTCCTTGTGACAAAGAAAGAAACCAGGCTAGCCAAGTTCTGCTAATTTGACTATTGAAGACTAATTAACATTGACATGTTTGTTGCAAAAATGTCAAAGCCATGGGGAACTTGGTCAAAAATAATGCTCATAAGTTTGGAGAATTTAGTATATCTTGGATAAAATTCTTCATATTCTTCATGAAGAAACTTATATACTCACTAAAATGTATTCTCCCTTCAAGATATAGCTAATTAGATAAATTTGAACTGGATATTGGGGGCAAGATGGCCGACTAGATGCAGCCAGTTGAAACAGCTGCCACCAAGGGAATGAGACAACTGGCGCACTAACAGATCTTCAGAAGGAGGGCACTGAGAACGGACAGAGGGAAGACATGGAAGCTGGGCTGAAGGGGAAACAACCTGGAAACCCTGCACCAGGCTACTGCACACTAGGACTCATTTCTGGCCTCCAGCAAATCCAGAGGAATGAATGAATTGAACTGACAAGGAGCAACCTGCTCTTGCCATGGACCTCTGGAATCCTGGCAGAAGGAGACAGACCCCTTGACCACCATGGACACTTGAGTTGGCAGGGAGAGCTGCTTAGAGAAGTGGTAGGGGCAGCATGCCAGCTGATGTGGAGCCCAGAGGGTTTGGCGCAGGAGTGTCTGTAACAAAGCATGGTCAGGGATGGCCACCCGCTAAGCTTGACTTGCTCCCACAGGAGACATTAGCCTTAGAGGAACTCTTGGACTTGAATTCTGCAAGATAGTCTTGCCTGTCAGAGGGGACCAGGCCGACTTGAGCATCCCTTGGTCTGCTGGCCTCTCCCGGGGCCCCATCCTGGCCGTGCCTGCTAGTAGGGCAGACTTTGGTTCTCTGGGGGCCCACATTATACCTTCTGTGTTGCAGATCATGCCTGACTGGTGGAGAGCTCCAGCACTGGGGCCTCCATGGCCATGCACCAGTCCTCCTGCTCCTTCCCCACACTGCAGCTTCCCCTGGGCCCACAGCAAGCCTGCACATCTTTTTGCCAGCATGTGCGTGTACAGGCGGGTTTTGGTTTCCTTGCCTGCCAGCCAGAATAGTGTGTGCATGCACTCTGCCCTTCCACTGCCACAGCAGGAGTGGAGTCCACCTCCATTTCCCTCACCAACTGCCATTGCAAATGGAGCCTTGATGGGCACAGAGCCAGCCTGCCCTGCCTCTGCCAGTGCATTGCCCTTGTGCCAACACTGGTTTGGGAGAGCAACTAGGCACAGAGAACAACATACCCTCCCCCACCCTGAGTTACTCTGCCTGTGGCACACAGAGAAAGCACACAGACCTATGCCCACCAGCACCCAGTCCCTGTTCCAACACCACTACCAGCGTGACCTCACACACAGTTGCCAGCAGGGGCTGCCTGCACCCCCACCAGTCACATTGCCTCTGCCATTGTAGTGAATGTCTGCACGGAGCAGGCATCCTGGTACCCACTAGCACCCTGCCACAGCCAATGAGCATGCACTCTGCCATGCTACTGCTGCTGCTGGCATGTGCAAATAAGGACAAGTCCCTTTGTCACAACACTATAAAATGCTTTGGCCAGCACCACCCTTTGGAGTGCAGTGAGCAGTGGTCCAGGAGCACATCACCACCCCCACACCCCAGTGCAGTGGATTCCTAACCTCAAGGAGCCAAAGTCAGGGCCCAATACAAGTCCCCCTGCATTAGAGCACCCAGTCCAGGAGTTGGGAACTGGGTGTTGGCTCCCTAAAATCTTCCAGAAATGAAGCCAATAAGCTGAATCTATTTATACCATAATCAAACCCTCAAGGCAATCAAATAGGATAAAAGAAAAAACCCATCCAAAGGGCAGCAACTTCAAAGACTGAAGGAACATAAGCCCACAAAGATGAGAAAGAACCTTTGCTAGAACCCTGACAACTCAAAATGCCAGAGTGCCTTCTTTCCTCCAAATGACCATACCACTTCTCCAGTAAGGGTTCTGAACTGGGCTGAGATGGCTGAAATGACATAAACAGAATTAAGAATATGGATAGGAATTAAGATCATTGAGATGCAAGAGTACATTGACACCCAATCCAAGGAAGTTAAGAGTCACAATAAAATGATGCAGGAGCTGACAGACAAAATAGGCAGTATAGAAAAGAACATTAACTGATAGAGCTGAAAAACACACTACAAGAATTTATTAATGCAACCTTAAGTATTAAAAGCAGAATAGACCAAGCGCAGGAAAGAATCTCAGAGCTATAAGATTGGCTCTCTAAAATAAGACAGGCAGACAAGAATACAGAAATAAGAATGAAAAGGAACAAGCAGGCTGGATGCAGTGGCTCACACCTGTAATCCCAGCACTTTGGGAGGCTGAAGCGGGTGGATCATGAGGTCAGGAGATTGAATCCATCCTGGCTAACACAGTGAAACCCCATCTCTAGTAAAAATACAAAGAAATTAGCCAGGCATGGTGGTGGGTGCCTGTAGTCCCAGCTACTTGGGAGGCTGACGCAGGAGAATGGCGTGAACCCAGGAGGTGGAGCTTGCAGTGAGCCGAGATCACACCACTGCACTCCAGCCTGGGTGACAAAGCGAGACTCCATCTCAAAAAAAAAAAAAAAAAAAAAAAAAAAGAAAAGGAACAAACAAAATCTCCTAGAAATATGGAATTATGTAAAGAAACTAAATCTATGACTCGTTGGTGTCCCTGAAAGAGATGGGGAGAGTACAACCAACTTCTAAAACATATTTCAGGATATCATTCACGAGAAGTTAACCAACCTAGCTAGAGAGACAGACATTCAAATTCAGGAAATGCAGAGAACCCAAGTAAGATACTTCAAAAGAAGACCATCCCGAAGACACATAATCATCAGATTCTCCAAGGTCGAAATGAAAGAAAAAATGTTAAAGGCAACTAGAGAGAAAGGCCAGGTCACCTACAAAGGGAAGCCTGTCAAACTAACAGCAGACCTCTCAGCTGAAAACCGACAAACCAGAAGAGATTGGTTGCCAATATTCAACATTCTTAAATAAAAGAAATTCCAACCCAGAATTTCATATCTAGCAAAACTAAGCTTCATAAGCAGAGGAGAAATAAGATCCTTTTCAGACAAACAAATGATGAGGGAAATTCGATACCAGCCAACTGCCTTACAAAACCTCCTGAAGGAAGTACTAAATATAGAAAAGAAAGACTGTTACCAGCCCTTGGAAAAACACACTGGAGTACACAGACCAGTGACACTATAAAGCAACCACATAAACAAGTCTGCATAATAATCAGTAATATCATAATGACAGGATCAAATCCACACATATGAATACCAACCTTGAATGTAAACAGGATAAATATCTCAATTAAAAGGTGATGAATGGCAAGTTGGATAAAGAATGAAGATCCAATGGTATGCTGTCTTCAAGAAACCCATCTTGCATGCAATGACACCTCTTAGGTTCAAAATAAAGGGATGGAGAAAAATCTACCAAGCAAATAGAAAACAGAAAAAAAAAGCAGGGGTTCTAATCCTAATTTCAGACAAAACAGACTTTAAATGAAAAGAGATCAAAAAAGACAAAAAAAAGAGAGCATTACATAATGGTGAAGGGTTCAATTCCACAAGAAGACCTAAGTATCCTAAATATATATGCAGTCAACACAGGAGCACCCAGATTCATAAAGCAAGTTCTTAGAGACCGTCAAAGAGACTCCCATGGAATAATAGTGAGAGACTTTAACACCCCACTGACAATATCAGACAGATCATCAAGACAGAAAATTAACAAAGATATTCAGGACCTGAACTCAGCTCTGAATCAAGTGGATCTGGTAGATTTCTACAGAACTCACCACCCAAAGACAACAGAATATACATTCTTCTCATTGCTACATGGTACATACTCTAAAATTGATCACGTGATTAGACACAAAACACTTCTCAACAAAGGCCAAAAGAACTGAAATCACAACAAACAATCTCTCAGACCACAGCACAATCAAATTAGAAATCAAGACTAAGAAATTCACTCAAAACCAGACAGTTACATGGAAATTGAATAACCTGCTCCTGAGTTACTTCTGGGTAAATAATGAAATTAAGGCAGAAACCAAGATGTTCTTTGAAACTAATGAAAGCAAAGATACAACATACCAGAATCTCTGGGGCACAGCTTAGGCAGTGTTAAGAAGGACATTTATAGCGATAAACACCCACATCAAAAAGTTAGAAAGATCTCAATGTAACAACCTAACATAGCAACTAAAAGAACTAGAGAACCAAGAGAAAACCAAGCCCAGAAAACCAAATGTAGCAGAAGACAAGTAATAACCCAAATCAGAGCTGAACAGAAGGAGATTGGGACAGTTGAAACCATTCAAAAGATCAACATCTCCAGGTGTTAGTTTTTCTTTTAAATTAATAAAACAGATAGACTGCTAGCTAGACTAATAAAGAAAAAAAGAGAGAAGATCCATAATTAAAAACAAAAAAGGGGATATTACCACTGACCACACAGAAATACAAATAGCCATCACATAATATTATGAATACCTCTATGCACATAAACCAGAAAATCTAGAAGAAATGGATAAATTTCTGGAAAAATACACTCTCTCAAGACTGAACCAGGAAGATATTGAATCCTCAAATAGACCAATAATGAGCTCTGAAATTGAGGCAGTAATAAATAACCTACCAGCCAATAAAAGCCCAGGATCAGACAGAATCACAGCTGAATTCTATCAGATGTACAAAGAAGAGCTGGTACCACTTCTACAGACATGATTCCAAAAAGTTGAGGAGGAGGGACTCCTCCTTAACTCATTCTGTGATTCCAGCATCATCCTGATATCAAAACATGGCAGAGACACAACAAAAAAAGAAAACTTCAGTCCAATATCCTTGATGAACATTGATGCAAAAATTCTCGAGAAAATACTGGCAAACTGAATCCAGCAGCACATCAAAAAGCTTACCCACCATGATCAAGTATGCTTTATGCCTGGGATGCAAAGTTAGTTCAATATACACAAATCAATAAATGTGATTCATCATATAAACAGAAGTAAAGAAAAAAACCACATGATTATTTCAATAGAAGCAGAAAAGGCTTTTGATAAATTTCGGCAGCACTTCATGTTACAAACTCTCAAAAAACTAGGTATTGAAGGAATATACCTCAAAATAATAGGAGCCATCTCTGAGAAACCCACAGCCTACATCACATTGAATGGGCAAAAGCTGGAAGCATTCCCCTTGAAAAGTGGCACAAGACAAGGATGCCTCTCTCACCACTCCTATTCAACATAGTATTGGAAGTACTGGCCAGAGCAATCAGGCAAGAGAAAGAAATAAAGGGCATCCAAATAGGAAGAGAGGAAGCCAAGCTATCCCTGTTTGCAGACACATGATCTTATATCTAGAAAACCCCATAGTCTCAGCCCAAAAGCTCTTTAAACTGATAAACAACTTGAGCAAAGTCTCAGAATACAAAGTCAATGTAGAAACATTACTAGCATTCCTACAGAACAACAGTCAAGCTGAGAGCCAAATCAGGAATTCAATCCCCTTCACAATTGCCAGAAAATGAATAAAATACCTAGGCGGTAGCTATTGTAAACAATAGTAAATAGGAGTAAATACAGCTAATCAGAAAGGTGAAAGATCTCTACAAGGAGAACTACAAACAACTGCTTAATGAAATCAGTGATGACACAAACAAATGGAAAAACATTTCGTGCTCATGGATAGGAAGAATTAATATCATTACAATGGCCATACTGCTCAAAGCAATGTATAGATTCAGTGCTATTTCTCTTAAACTACCAATGACATTTTTCACAAAACTAGAAAAAAACTATTTTAAAATTCATATGCAACCAAAAATAGCCCAAATAAGTAAGGCAATCCTAAGCAAGTGAACAAAGCTGGAAGCATCATGGTACTTGACTTCAGACTATGCTACACGGCAACAGTAACCAAAACAGCATGGTACTGGTATAAGAACAGACACATGGAACAATGGAACAGGATAAAGAGCCCAGAATTATGGCTGCACACCTACAATGATCTGATCCTTGACAAAGCTGACATAGACAACCAATAGGGAAAGGACTCCCTATTCAATAAATGATGCTGGAATAACTGGCTAGAAGACTGAAGCTAGACCCCTTCCTTACACCATATACTAAAATCAACTCAAGATGGATTAAAGACTTAAATGTAAAACCCAAAACTATAAAAACCCTGGAAGAAAACCTAGTCAATACCATTCTAGACATAGGATCAGGCAAAGATTTTATGCCAAAGATGCCAAAAGCAATTGCAACAGAAGCAAAAATTCACAAATAGAACCTAATTAAGTTAAAGAGCACAACAAAAAAACTATCAACAGAGTAAACAGAGAACATACAGAATGGGAGAAAATTTTTGCAAACAATGTGTCTGACAATTGTCTAATACACAGGGTCTACAAGGAACTTTACAAGAAATTTAAAAGATAAAAGAAAACAACCCCATTGAAAAGTGGGTAAAGGACATGAACTTTTCCAAAAAAAAAAAAAAAAAGACATATATGAGGCCAACAAGCATATGAAAAAAAGCTCAAAATCAGTGATCATTAGAGAAATGCAAATCAAAGCCAAAATGAGATACCATCTCATACCTCTTAGAATGGCTATTATGAAAAAGTCAAAAAAATAACATGCTGGCAAGGTTGCAGAGAAAGAGAAATGGTTATACATTGTTTGTGGGAGTGCAAATTAGGTCAACCATTGTGGAAAGTAGTGTGGTGATTCCTCAAAGACCTAAAAACAGAAATACCCTTTGACCCAGCAATTCCATTACTTGGTATATACCCAAAGGTATACAAATCATTCTGTAATAAAGACCCATGCATGCATCTGTTCATTGCAGTGCTTTTCGCAGTAGAAAAGACAGGGCATCAACCTAAATGCCCATCAATGATTTGATTGGATAAAGAAGATGTGGTAAATAAATATCATGGAATACTATGCAGTCATAGAAAAGAATGAGATTATGTCCTTTCCACGAACATGGCTGGAGCTGGAGGCCATTATTCTTAGCAAAGTAACACGGGAAGAGAAAACTAAATACCGCATGTTCTCACTTATAAGGGGGAGCTAAATGATAAGAGCTTAGGAACACAGAGAAGGAAACAACAGACACCAGGGTCTTCTTGAGGGGGGTGGGTGGGAGGAGGGAGAGGATCAGGAAAAATAACTAATGGGTACTAGGATTAATACCTGGGTGATTAAATAATCTGTACAGCACACCCCCATGACACAAGTTTACCTATATGACAATCATGCACATGTACCCCTGAACTTAAACATTAAAAAAGAAAAAAGTGATAAATGTCATTTTATGCATTTAGTTAAAATCAATTTTCTCAGTTGTGGTTGTTGTTCATTGTAAAATACCTAATCTGTTTATTGCCATCTCTTAAGCTACTTTCAAACAGAGTAGCCATCAGATATTTAACTGCTGTTCATATTTAATATTAAATATTTAACAAAAAAAGTTTATGGAATGAAAATGAAAAAATATAGACCAGTAAGTCAGATATAAAACTTATTCAGTAGAATTCAGCTTTACTAGATTAATGTATATTTTATTTGGGTAGGCTAAGAGTAATTCTACCATTATCTCTATTAAATTCAGTCTAAATTTATACAACTTGGCAAGTGCTTGCTATGATTTTACCTTCTTCAGACTAGAAGTATACTTCCTTCTAGTAAGAGTCAAGTGATGAAGGTTCTAGTTTGTCCCTCTCCTTTTAACTTCCTGTGTGACATTAAGGCAAGTCACTTATCCTTTCTCAGCCCTATTTATATATAAAAGGGGAATTATAACCGCCTTACTTGCTTCCCTAAGTAGTTGGAAAAATTGAGTAAAAAACGTGAAAATTTGTTTGCAAAGTAAGAATATATATTTTTATTTGTTTTATTCCTGCCTTCACTAGATTATAAGCTACTTTAAGGCAGAAACCACATTTTATTGTCTTATCCTAATTTTCATTTATTAAGTACTGGTAACATACTAGGCTGTGTTCTAGCTACTTGAAACAAAAAGATTAATAATGGCGTCTATTCTGGAAGAGCATATACTTTATTATATGGGAGGATGGAGGAGGGGATTAAGTGGGAATGGCAGGCAAGCATTCAACCAATTATAATACTATAGACCTATGTAACAGAGGCATATACAAATACAAGAAAGTGCGATTGAAACAGAGATGGGAAAGTTATTGATTCTGGCTTGTGGGAATCATATTGTTTCTCAGAGGAGATGGCTTTAAAAGCTGTTCCTGAAGCATAGGTAGGATATTTTTTCAGGCAAAGTTGGAAAGGAAGGGGATTCTAAGCAGAGAGAAGAACCAGGAGAAAGTACAGATGTGTAAAAGTACTTTGCATTTTCTGGAAAGACTGAGTAATTTGGTATTATTGAGGTGAAGGGTAAATGCCTGGGGAACTAGCTTGAGAAGATCCCAGAGAAGTTGGCTACGCTTAAGTTTTTAGAAGCTTGGAGAAAATATTCTCAGAAGAAAGATTGGTTAGAGGAAAAGGAGACCAGAGGCTGGGGGATTATCTAGAAGGCTGATGTAGTTCTCTGTAATGCTCAAAGAGATTTTGAGGATTTGGCAGTGGCAATGGGAATGAAGAAGGGATTTGTTTGAGAACTATCGCTGAAATAACATTGACAAGATTTGGTGATTGAAAGAATAATGTAAGAGAGGGAAAATGAACATTTTCAGCTCTTGTGACTCAGAACCACACACATTGCCTTGTACATAGGAAGAAGCTATTAAATTGTTGTCTAATCGGATTGATTAAAGCTCTTTGCTAGTAGCACATATTAATAATATTATCATAAAGTTAAAGCTTTAGTTTCTTTTCTAGGCTGCCATTCCAGTAACATTTGGGAGCATTAAATTCACTATTAAATGATTTTTAAGGTCTCTAAGGGCAAGAAAACAATTCTGTTTTTCAAGTGAAAGTATAAAGAATTTATAGATTGGCTTTCTTGTTCTTGAAGACAGAGAAATATAGATATTTGAAAACTTGCTAATTGCTATTATTTCAACAAAATTGGGTTGAAGTTTATATTTTCAGTATACTTAGTAAAAAGGCTTACTATACAGATTTATAGTAACTTTAATTAGAAGATTGCATTTGTAAAAATTTTTAATTACCTTAGATAATTCTCAAAAAAGGCCTCTGAAGTTAACTGAAAATATATTATCATACCCAAATGGTAGCTGAGAATGCTGATGCTTAAAAAAGTGAAATCACTTGTCTAAGTATGACAGCTAGTAAATTCCAGTGTCAGGAATTGCCTTCATCTTTTTTTTCTCAAATTGACTTATTTATTTTTTACATCGACATATAAAATTGTATTTATCATGTACAACACAATGTTTTGAAGTATGTATACAATGTGGATAATAGCTAAGATATGGAAGCAACCGAATTGTTTATCAACAGATGAATAGATTTTAAAAATCTGGTATATATCCACAATGGTATAAAATTCAGCTATAAAAATAACATTTTTTGTTGTAACAGCATGGGTGAATCTGGAGGACATGCCCCCATCTTTTGATTTCAATTTTTGATTGAGACCCAGGAATATGATTTTCTAACAGGCTCCTCAGATTACTCTTCAACAGATAGCACTTGAGGATAAATACATTTGTAAACTAATCTGGGGAGTAAAAGACAAGAATAGAGTTTGGGAGGAGAATTATCTAAAACAGAAGTAGGTGTCTACGGGATTGTAATGGGATTGTAGAGGACTGTAGGGTAGAGTCTGGCAAACACGGAGAAGGAGTTAAACTTCTAAGCCCTTAACCCAATTCCTGAGTTCAGAAACATGGAGCAGTGCTTGTGGTGGTGGTACTGCTGTCTTTTTTGTTATTATTTGTGTATTTAAGCCAACATCAAATTAAGCAGAAGTGGAGCAAATTTAAGTATAAAAAGTATCTGTCCTCCCTTACTTGGACCTAATTGTGAAAATGTGTTCATAACTTCCCTGGTGAAAGTCAGAATGCATATCTTGCAGCAAAATATAAGCTCCAAGAGGGCAAGATCTTTGCCTGCTTTCTTCATTGTTCTCTCCTCAGAACCTAGAACCATGTCTGCTACAGACTATGTACTATAAAAATATTTATGGAATCAAATTTCCGGTGGAAAGACATGTTTTAAATGTATCCTTTGTTCTTGTTGTTAAGAAATGATACTGTTTCTGTAATTGAAGTCTCAAAAGGCTAAGATATCAGAACATAACATAAAAGCAATTGTTGTTTGGTTGCATTGCTGTTTATTGAACTTCCGTAAGTACTCCCCAAGACTGGACTGAGCACTGTTTGGAAAGGCATGATCGCAGTGGCTGTTGGGTCTTTTTGAAATAGAACTATTACTCTAGGTACATTATACACTAAATAGACCTTTGTGAGCTGGCCTAGGGATATTACATTTAGAATGAGTTGCGTCAGTTGACTTGCAATTTAGGAAAAGTGGTAAATCGATGTTCAGGGGATGACTATGAAATTATCTGAAAGATGTTTGCACCTTGGTAAGGTTTAATTTTTACTATTTTTTGATAATACTAATTATGATCCTTGTTTATTTATTCCAAAGCCTTTTATCCATGATCTGATTTATATTGGCACTCACAGCAGCAGCTCAATCGGATGGGAGATATTATTCCTATTTTATAGATGATATTTGAGACTTGAGCTAAAGCAAGGCACATCAAATTGTTTCAAAATTTGGTCTAGTTTTGTTGGTTATAGTTTTGTCTCCCTGTGGATGAGATAAAGTCACAGGGCTGGGTTCACATCATTTAATTACTTTGAAAATTTAAAGTAACAAATATAAATTCAGAAACACTTTTCAAATTGTAGTTAAAGCAATAAGTGATGAGTACAGTTAGAATAATTTGCTGCTTAGCACAAGTCCAACAATATAATAAAAGATAATAATTAAAAATAATTAAAAGTGAAGAATGTAATTTCCAAACATGTTCACATCTTATTTCACTGAATTCTTGAAATAATGTCTATTTTATGGGTAAGGAAACTGAGTTTCACAGGAAACAAATGACTTACCCAGGGCTATATAACTGGAAAGAGTCGTTCCACTTCTATAAAGTATATTTCTCCAAGTGTGCCCAATAGAAAATGAGTTTTGAAGATTTTAAAAGATTTCTCCCATCCCCTCCAGAATAAGAAGCTTTATTTTCAAATAAGCCTGAGAAACACTGGGTTGAGTTCTTTCCTTCCTTCCTCCCTCCCTCCCTCCTTTCCTTCCTTCCTTCCCTCCCTCCTCCCTCCCTCCCTCCCTCCCTCCCTCCCTCCCTCCTTCCCTCCTTCCCTCCTTCCCTCCTTCCTTCCTTCCTTCCTTCCTTCCTTCCTTCCTTCCTTCCTTCCTTCCTTCCTTCTTTTTCTTTCTTTTCTTTCTTCTTCTTTTTTTAAGACAAGGTCTTGCTGTCACCCAGGCTGGAGTGCAGTGGCATGATCATAGCTCACTACAACCTCAACCTCCTGGGCTCAACCCATCCTCCCTCCTCAGCCTCCCTAGTAGCTGGGACTACATGCATGCACCACCATGCCTGGCTATTTTTTCTTTTGTAAATTTTAGTAGAGATGAGGTTTTGCTGTGTTGCCCAAGTTGACCTCGAATTCCTGACCTCAAGTGATCCTTCCACCTGAGCCTCCCAAAGTGCTGAGATGACAAGCATGAGCCACCCGTCCCAGCCTAAGATGTGGTTTTCTATGTTCAAATGTTTGTAACTGAGTTATAACCTATTACCTACTGCCTACTCCAAATCAATAGCTTTCATGTTTTACAAAGTACTTTGATACATATTCTCTCACTGACTTTTCATAAAACTTGAGAGTTAAGTAGAGCAGACTTTTATCTCATTTTATAGGGAAGGGAAATGACTTACTTGGAGGTCTACCACTAATAAATGATTAGAAGAGCTAGTGCAATCTGCATTATATGTGTGAAGAACCAAACCCTGATCAGTCCCTTGCTAGGAAGTTGTCCCTGATGAACTACACTCATGTTATCATTCTGTTCATTCAGTATTACATATGAATTTGCACTCTTTGGTATATACATTCAGCCTGTTTTTAGGTCATTTTCACTGGGGCATAGTCCAAAAGGGGAAAAAAAAAAAGAAACTAGGTTTACTTGTTTTACAAATCCTCTCCTAGTTAGCGTTCTGTTGGCACATGGTGAAGAATGCGCTTCCCTGAGAATCTTTTGCACTTGATGATGGTTGTGTCTGAGTCTGTTTAGTACCTTGTGCCCTTGCATTGCCTGTCTAAATGAACACTGTTGATAAAGTATGTACTGCATTTGTAAAATGTACAATGATTTGTACACTTATCTGCTGATAGAATAAAATACAAATGTATTCATTTGACTTATGAGGAAGGCGTCATGATACAATAGAAAGATACCAGAAGCCAGACTAGAGTCAGAAGACAGTAGTTCAAGTCATGGCTCCTGAATTTACAAATATGTAGTCATGGCAAAGTCATTTAGCCTTGCTAAATCTCTTTCCTCATCTGTAAATGGGAAACATAATAGCCTGTTTGCTTCGTTGGGTGTAAACTGTCTTATTTTCTTCACAGTTTTACTATCTGGAAGCCCATCTTTGGATCCTACCCCACCATAGTTTTCAAACCTAGCGTGTTGCCCACACATGAAATCGATGTCAGTAACCCGAAGAGGCTAATGCACTTTCATAACATGGGATTTTTGTTCTCATATTTTTGGAGGGAAAGTAAGTTGCATAATTGGGTAAGCACCTTAAATCTTTTTTGTAATACATTTTTAAATTGATAATGTCATTTCTTAACATCATAAAGCAGTGATTTTCAAACTTAGGAGAACATTATAGACTAGAGGGAGCTTGTTAAATAGTATACATTTTCAAGTTTAACCCAAAGTTTCCATGGTTTTGGGTGGGAGAGTCACCATTAAAAACCATTTCAATCATGAAGAATCCCATGAACAAAGATGTAAAATAAAATGACTTATGAAGATTAGTCAGGCACAGATACAAGTTCCCAGTTCTGAGTCCATTATTTTGTGTTTCAGGCCACTCTTCCGTCTCTGTTGCCAAGAAGGGGAGATATAGATTGGGTGATGTTCTTGTATGTCTTAGAACACAAATCCATTGTAATCTGGTTTCATGAACTCTATAATCAGTCTCTGTGCAAATCTATGCATCATATTGCTTTGGCACTGGTGCGAGGATCATTTTAGTGGATGTATTGCATCCACAGAATTGACTGGGTGTATGCTAAAATATATGTGCACCAAAAATAGATTTTTAGCCTCATTTATCTTGGTGTGATTATTACACATTGTGTGCCTGTATCAAAATATGTTGTGTACCCCATAAATATAAACAATCTAGTAGAAAATAAAAAATAAAATAAAAATAAAAATAAAAAACAGATTTTTAGGATTTTGTTACTGATTATGATTCTGACAGAAGACAGTAATGAATCTAGAAACTGTCAACAACAAACTTCTGTATTTTAAAATAAAACTATTTTTGTGGATCCATAAACAGACTGAGAAAGAGTATAATTTGGTGTTGCTAATGTGAAAAGACAGGTAATGGGTGTTGGCGCTAAAGTTTTGACTTAAAACATTTATAATTGAGAATTATGCTTGTAATGATCTGCTTACACATCCTAAAAAGGAAGAAAAATACTTATTCATGTTACAAGATAAGTAGCTTTGAGGTAAAAATTTGGACTGAACCATTTTCTATACTATAATACTTATTTCAGCTTTATTTTATTCTACTTTAGTTTTTAATATTTTTCATTTCCATTACTTCATAGAGGCCCTGTAACAGTGTATTTGCTTTAGGTTAAAGAAAATAAAAGCAGAAACACAACCCATCCCAGCAGGTTAAGCATTTCAGTCTGCCCTCTATAGTACTTTTTAAGTGTGGTAGTCATATTTTGTTACTCAATATTAATATAATTACAATCAGAAAATACTACAGTTTCTAATATAAGGTATGAATATATCATAAATGTTTCCTGATCACAAATAATAATAATTTTTTTTTTTGAAATTTAACTCCTGGGCAGACAGCATGTTTTAGAGGACTTTGAAATCTTACTAGGAAAAACATAAAAATGTAGCTTTTATTATCATCACATGGCCATTATAACTGTAAAATTGGTTGTGTTAAGAATTGAAGATCAGGGTTCATGGATTACATTGACAATTTTGTCATAAACTTCCTATTTAACTGTGAACATCCAACTTCACACCTTTTGTTCTTGAATTTACCTTCTGTAAAATATGGTAATAATATTTAACTATGTTATACAAGATGTTATGAAGCTTAACTTTCCTTTTTCAAGATTCCCAAATATAAAGGACCATAAAAAATATTAGCACTATTACTCTGACTGCCATTTTTGTGACCAGTTTTAGCACAGTATGTATAAATAAATTGGTGAGTTATAGTGTCCTTTTTTCTACTATGTAGTTCAAGAATTTTGCGTGTATCTTTCCCTTTTATTTCTCATGGACTCAAAGGAACTCACGGACTTGAAGGAACCATCTTGCACACCCCTTGACTTAAGTTGAAAAATTATTTATTTTATTAATTGAGCAAGCATTTATTGGACACCTACATTCCAGCAATTGCGTTTTGTCCTGGAAGTTCAAAAATGGTATTGTTCCTGTTCCTGCTTTTAGGGGGCTCAAAAGTATAAACCTAAAGTTTCTTCATCTGAGTCCTTCTACTATTGCTTTAGGTACAGTGCAGGAACGCAGAATGCTGATAGGGCCAAACAAAGCATTTCAGTTGATCATGTCTACTGTTCATGATTATGTCTGCTATTTCATAGGCATGAAGCTTTAAGGCACTCAGTCTTAGTTTCCATCATTCATACATTATCTAGCTGTGAGACCTTGGGCACATCAGCTATGCTCCTTTGCATCACAGTTTTCTCACCTGTGATCTCTAAGACCTCATTAGTTCTCAGTTTCTGTGGTTTCTATCTTCCACCTATGGATGTGGCACTTGTTTATAAAGGCAAAGAAGTTTGTTTCTTTTGATTAGCCTCATTAGACAATCAAGACTGGCAAAGAGTGTCTGGGATGCCAGGTCTCCTATCAACCCTTGAGTAGATAACATCTTCCATGGTACGTTAAAGGGAAATGATGAGCTTGGTGATTCTATCTAACCCTCCGTAAACACAAACAAACTCTTAAACCAAGTTTGTTGTCTGCTTGGATTGCATTTCCTTAAATTAGAGCAATGAATCAAACTGTATTTTACTTTGAGATTATTGTTATGTGTAGTGTTAAGTGAAGCCAGAAATGACACTTTTTATTTTTCAAACAAGGGGCTTTATGTGATTTACTGTACCTTTGTAGTAGGCTGATTTATCTTGCTCAGGATATCCTCATTGTTTGTATTCCTCAGAGTCCTTCGAAAACTCAATGCATAATTTCCATCCCAGTGCAGATAACACAGGCTCCCCAAAAGTTTCAACTTAGAATCTGTGTTTTTCTTTTCCTCCTTCACATGAGTGAGTGGAAGGAGGCTTAGAGGGAGGAGCTGGCCTCCTACCACTTGTGTATCATGGTCCAGCAACTCAATGCTTTAGGCCATTATTTCAAAATCCAATATATTCAAACTTTGGCCTCTGAGAGCAATAATATCAGTACACAAGAACAACAGAGTGATAAATATAGAAATTTCATCAAGGAAAAGACTATATCCTGTCATTCTGAATCAATGTTTAGAAGATGATCTCAGCATTCACCACCTACTATGGGCTTTAGCTTTGTGCTTATGAAGAAAAAAAATCATTAGAAAAGAAGGTGACTGTGCTTCTTTCAAATATTATGATGGCGTAACGAAATAAGTTTAATATATGCCAAGAGTGAGCTCCACTAACACTGTGATGATAATTTGATGTGAGTCCCTTTTGAGCCTTGCATAATTGCTGCCATGATAGGTAGTGCAGTGCAGTGAAGAATGGTTTGTGCATAGCCACCCAAAATTTGGCTGACTGGCATAACACAACTGTTAAATTTTCTAGTTTTATTTTTCTTCACAGTATTGGTTCATTTGTTACCATTAAAAATGCCCATTTTGTTCAAAAGCATGATTACTATCTCTATTTTTTTGAATTACATATTATATCATGATCACAAAAGCGATTTTGTATTAAAATGCATGTACTTTTTCATTTAGGATGTGTATAATTTTTCTGAGTGTGATTATATCCTTTTAAGAATACTAATTTAAAAAGCTCCCTCATTTAACCTTGTGAGAGTTTAATTTTTAAAAAAATCTCAAAAAGCAAAGGAATGAATTAGTAGTAACTTTATTGTTGTTAGTCTATGGACTTTGGTTTTGCAAACTTCTGTTTAAGATTTCTTTGATAGTGAATTAAAAGAAAATAAAAGAAAGACAAGAAACACTGACATCAGCTCAAAAGGTTTTTGCTGATTTTTAGTTAAGAAAGCTCTCAATGGCTACTAGTCTTTCACCTGCAATCCAGTGTAATAAACCTTCACTGAAGAAGTCAAATTCTAGGGGAAAAAAAGTTGGAAGCCCACACTTACACCATAAAACCTTGTTTATGACAACCATCAGTCTTCTAAGATATGCCCCACAATGGGATTTGGTAAAGCCATTACAAGTTGCCGTATGAGTTCCATTTGCCTATAGTAAATAGAATGTCAGACGTGTCAGGGGGAAATAAATATTGGGCTGGTTAAAAGGGAGCAGAGATGGTTCAAAGCATCATTGAGAGGATTGATTTATCTGGCGTGCTGTAATGACTGCAGATGTGGATCTGTTATTCTAGATGAGCAATGCATTTGATGAGCTGATAACACAGGGCCAGAGAGGCCTGGTTTTAATTACTGATGAGGAATTTATTTGTGAAGCACTGTGATTTACTGAGGGTTTGTTCTGTTATTGATAGGTGACCTTGGGGCTTTTCTTTTCTGATGAGCCACAGAAAAGGAGCTTTTAAAAGAAATAATCAAACAGAAACTATTTTATCTGTACTTAGAATACAATGAAGTCATTTGAGATACATTGTTGGGGTGGAAGCTACGTTCTTGTTCTTGCTCACACAAAAAGTTTGCCGCTCTGATTTTTTGCTTATAAATTACTGCTGATTTCTACTCTTAAGTATATTTATATATTTTTCCTTTTAGGCAAGACTTGTTTCTGTGACTAGATATTGGTATCTATTTGTTTGCTTCTGTCATTAATATAAACTGTTGAAGCAGAATTGGAGGAAACATTGGGATGTCAAGCATAGCTGGCTCATTAAATAATAGCTAATTTGTGTACTATTCATTGGGAGTCAGAAGGGAGATTATGACTCTGGTATAGTTCTGTTGGTGACCAGCAGTTTCTCATTCTTATGAATGATACAGAAAATCTAAATTAAAGAAAAGGAGGTCAAAAGAAGAGCAATCATTGGTATTCATAGTTTTAACTCCCCTTCAAGTTCAGGAATTTGACAAATGACATATTTTGGATATTTGTAGTGCTATTTGTACACCCTTTACCTTGGCAAAATATGGTTGATCTGGAAATCCTAAGTATGTTCTTTTAAATTTAAATTTGGTACTTTGAGGCTTTCATCTAAAGTATAAATTCAAGTGTGAGTTCCAAAGTGTCACTTGTCTATTTTATTTTATTTCAACTAGCAGTTTACAGAAGTGATTCAGACTTTTGTGGAAAACATAGTAATTTCTGTATGTGCACTCTGTTAGAGTTGTTTGTAAAAAATGTTGAACCAGTTCATTTTATAGATAGTTTATTGTTTACCAGCTATTTAAAAAGTCACAAAAGAAAGACAACATCTGGACTTCAAAAGTTCCTAGAGAAGACCTGAATTGCATTGAATGGTATTTATATGTATAAACTACTGTGGTTCATTTGGGGAGTCAAGAATCGAGTCAACTGGGAGGTAGTCAACTAATTATCTTTTGCAATCTTTGTATCTTACTGCATTTCTTTATTTTGCTCTAATTTTTGAAGAGCTAAAAGGCAATGGCACTGCAGTTTTTGTGAGGATTGCAGTGTTTTCTGCAAAATTATTATACAATCCAGAATGTTGAAAATCTTTGTGTATATAAATAGACATTAGATTGCTTTGTCTGGATTTGTATGCATGTAAAAACTAATTAAACTATTTTATGTATAGTGTTATTTTATTAACTAATATTCTGAATGTTTTGAACTGAGAAATTTTTATGAATCATGATAAATGTGACTACTTTAGAATGAATTTATGACCTAACAAGCACTTTAAATTGTATTATAACATATACCTAATGTATGTGTTCATGGTTCATGCAACTATGGAGTTTTTTGATTTATCAAGCCAGGCTGATTGGAATATCTTTAAAATTGAAGTTTAGTAGAGATAAAATAATAATTACAGAAGAATTTGCCTGCCTTTTTGTCTGTATTGTGGTTTTATATTTTTATTGGGGAGACATCGTTTTTCCTTCTTGCATTTTTCTATTGTGGAATTACCACTATAAACTACATGTAAATTTTTATATTATCTCATTAACTAGGAGATTCACTTCTCATCTTACTAATTTTGAATAGGTTAAGTTCCACTAAACGAACATCAAGTGTGTATTTTAAGACAATGTGTTCTAAATGCTCTGAAACTCACGAACGTTAGTTAAAGGATCAAATGGTTAAAATTGCAGTCTATTTTTTACTGCAACTTTTACCCAGGAGGCACAAAAGTCAGTGCCTTCCTCGAAGCATGTGACTTACTTCCGCCATAGAATAAATTTCATTTATCTGACTTTACATACACTCTTTAAACTCTTCAGTGCAGTATTCTATTAGCATTCTATTAGTCTCCAAAGAAAATAGCAGTATTTAAACTTTCCTAACAGTATTATATTAGTATTTATTAGTCTCCAGTGAAAATATAAATAAACGGCATAAATTCCCTTTACTGTGATGAGACTGAGGAATTAAAATTAAATACTTTTAAAAAGTTGACCTAGGAAGGGAATGAGCATAATCAAGGGGCCAAGGCTAGACAAAGGAATAAAGGTAGCGTAGGCCCTCGCCTATGAATTGTGTATGCAATGTGATATTTAATGAACGTATCAGAATTTATTTATCCAAACAAGTTATTTAGATACAAATATTTCCCAATAGTACTGCTTCTGCTCATAACAATTTTGAGTCGTCCGTTTTTGTAATTATTTTCTAATTATTTGGTTCATCTTTCTAAATATAGTCAGTGGTGGCAGTCCTTGTCCTTTAGGGTGGATTATTTTTCATCATAACATCATAAAATTTAGATATTAGTGAAAAGCTGGCAAACTTAAATTATCTATTTTTAAGTCTCGTTTTCCTTGACCTTTCTGCAGCCTTTGAAAAGATTGACATTCTTTCCTTCCTTGCCTTCTGTGACAAAATAATATTATTTCCTCTTTGATTTCTCTTCATTTGTTGGGCCCAATTTACGCCCATGCCTAAGGAATAATAAAATTCTGTTCTTGGCTCTCTGTTCTTATACTTCTATATTCATTGCCAGGAAGAGTTCATGACTTAAATTACCACCTCGTCAGAAATGATCCACAAACTTCAGAAACAATAGCTTCTTTTCTTCCCTGTCTTAAAATTCCAGCTGCCTTCAGTATTGTCTACTTCATGTATCCCAAACTGAACTCAGAATTCCCATCTCTAAATCAGCCTTCATAATTGTTCATATTAATATTAACTGCTTATATAATAAGTATATATATTCTTAAGAATTGTGTATAGCATCTCTATGTTTCCAATTTAAGAATCTCAGGGTTCTCATTCATACTTTCTGACTTTTGACCCCATTTTCAATCATTTACCTAATGTAACCCAAACTTTCCTTTTCAACATTTTTTTCCGAATTTTCCTCTTTTTATTCCCCTTCCTTATTTTCTATTTCTTGTCAACTCAAATGTACCACAACTATAATGCTTTGATAGCCTTCTAAGTGTTTCAGTTTCTTCTTCTGGTTTATCTTTCACATTGCTTATAGGACACTCATTTTCTTTTTAAAGTTGTATGGTATGATGTTATTCTCCTTAAGAATCTTTAGTAAATCCTTAAGAGACAATTTAGTTGCCCTTAGTAACAAATTTGAACACTTGAGCCAAGCATTCAGCCTTTTCATTTGATTGGTTATCTTATGTCTATAAAACTTTATCTGACCTTCAGAGTTTTAATTTGCACATCTTCAGTTGTCACCTATGTGACTCACAAATTAATATTTTCAGTTTGATGTGATAGAAGAAGGATGAAACCGGTAAATCAAGTTACTTGGCTTGGCTTCTATCCAAGTAAGTGTGGGTGAGTCAGAGATCTCTACAGTGCGTGCAGATGACACTTAAATATTGATAGAATTAAGATACTGCTTAAACAGTGTTCTATCACTATATCACCATTTAAGAGTAGCTGTCTTTATTTTCCTAGATGAACATAGATATCACAGGTATAGCCTATCCAGACAATTTTTCGGCATTAGTTCTAGACACCCTTTTATTGTCTGTGTAAGATTCAAAATAAAGAAAATTTAGCATCTTTTATAGCTGTAAACATTTGGGTTCACAATGAAAAACCTGGTGGTGGAACTGAATGTTCTTGCATCTGTCTAGCTGTTTAAAGTAGAAGAAAATACATAGTCATTTGGCACTTGTATCATGTACAAGATAAAGGGAGAAAAACCTAATCCTATTGTATCAAACATGGAGTATATTTTATTCAAGTTATTAGCATTCTAAAAAAACAAGGTTGATATTAAATGATGGAGGAAGCATTTGTGATGTCAGGATTGGTATAAGGTGCAGAGGGCGAGATAGTTTCCTTTCTCTCTCCCCTTTGTCTGTCTTATTCTTATCTTGGTTACAGTCCTTCTCAGTATACCTGTAATCACATTAACTTTTTTTTTCTAATTGGAGGTATTTCTTTTCTTCCCTCTCTTTCTCTGCACTTTTTTGGAAACAAGTTACCCATTTGGAAGGCATGTAGTTGGCAAATTTGATGAACATCTACAGAATACTTGGACATAAGCAAAAAGTAGAGTTGAATCTCAGGAATTTTTGACCATGTAAGAATTCTTAGTATTTTACCTAGAATGGCTGAAGTTTCTTTGGTATCCTCCTTGGGAAGAGTTTGCTAAGTGAAACAAAAATAGTAAGATTGAATAGGCAATATTTTAAAAAAGCTACGCAAGAGTTAGTTCATTTTCCAGTGTTTTAGCCATAGCTCGTCATATATAAGCTATGAGTTTACTATCCTATATTGCGTAATATACATAGACTTTTATAAAATTGAGGTTCTTTTTGAATAGGTAATGTATGCATGTGTTAAGAAACATTATAAAAGAGCATGGCATAAAAAGGAAACCTTTCATTCCATTGACCCCTGTCTACCAGTTACCTAGTTTCCTTTGATTGAGGTTACATGTATTTGAGGTTGTGCCACTTCAATTCTGAACACCTGTCTTTTGCTAATTAACTGACTAGCCTGAAAAGAGATTGGTTAGAGTACAAGCACAAATGCTAGGGTCTTGTCTTCCTGATAGAGGTGAGGGAAATTCTGCTATTTGCAGTAACTAGATATGGGCAAGGATACAGAATTACCCAAATTTCTACAAAAAAGAAGGTTGACATATGTTAGATAGACTCAAAACCTTTTATTACGACAATTGTAAATGAGCTACAGCTGATTATTAAAGCAATCCTTAGCAACTTTGTTAGCGGTTCTCAGATATGACTACATGGATCTACATTCTATACATAAAAATCTTTCACTATATCCAGTGAGTATTTCCTATATTCCCAAATGAGCAAATCTATATATACCTATCAAATTCTAAATTAAATATATTAATAACTAGTCCAGCAATAAGATGATTTTTTGTGCATGATGGCAACCACCTTTAAATACATTATTGATCTCAAATTTGATACAATATTTAATTGAGTATGTATGGACAGATTGCCAAATATTAATTTGAGTATGTATGGACAGATTGCCAAATATTAGCATGGAGATATGTATTTTTTAAATTACACTAAGTTCTAGGGTACATGTGCACAACGTGCAGGTTTGTTACATAGGTATACATGTGCCATGTTGGTTTGCTGTACCCATCAACTCTTCATTTACATTAGGTATTCCTCCTAATGCTATCCCTCCCCCAGCCCACCACCCCCAAACAGGCCCCGGTGTGTGATGTTCCCCGCCCTGTGTCCATGTGCTTCTCATTGTTCAGCTCCCACTTATGAGTAAGAACATGCAGTGTTAGGTTTTCTGTCCTTGTGATAGTTTGCTTAGAATGATGGTTTCCAGCTTCATTCATGTCCCTGCAAAAGACATGAACTCGTCCTTTTTTATGGCTGCATAGTACAGCATGGAGATATGTTTTAGGAAATATCAATATAAATAAAAGTTTCATATTTGAGAGATAAATGTTTTTCTGGATACCTGTTTGATAGTTTGTATTTGTGATGAGAGTTACTAGTTGAATGCTGAATTCAATAAATTCTGCCCCAGAGACTTTTTAGGAGGGATTTGGAAAAAATTTATATTGTTGAATAAAGAGGGAGACACCACAATTACATAGCAAGAGTTATAAACATTGAAAACAAACAGGAGGCTGGGCATGGTGGCTCATGCCTGTAATCCCAGCACTTTGGGAAGCTGAGGCAGGTGGATCACTCAAGGCCAGGAGTTTGAGACCAGCCTGGCCAACGTAGCGAAACCTGACTCTAAAAATACAAAAATCAGATAGGCGTGGTGACACTCACCTGTAACCCCAGCTACTCAGGAGGCTGAGGCAGGATAATCCCTTGAACCTGGAAGGCGGAGGTTGCAGGAAGCTGAGATAGTGCCACTGCCTCCAGCCTGGGTGACAGAGCGAGACTCCATCTCAAAAATAAAAAAAAAAAAAAAGGAAGAAAAGAAACAGAAGTGTTATATAGGGACTCATTTTTTTTCAATATGGCATTGAAATACAAAAGTTTACCTTTCAATAATGCATAATAAAAGAAGCATAGAAAGGAACAGAAAGTACAGAAAAAGTAAAAATGAAATAAATATAGCAAGTAAAATGCTGTATCATCTGTTATAAACATCCTATTTGAAGAAAAATAGGTTGACTTGCAAATCGCTGTGCTCCATTCTACTTTTCTATTCTTAACCTAATAGGAAAACAATTATGCATCAGGGCACCTATTCATTAAATAAAACAATGACCTGTTAGGGAAGTAATAAGCATGCTGTAAATTTATTACTAATAATAAAACTATAGAAAATGTCACTTATTACATCTAAATGTTTACAATGGTAAGTTCAGACAGTGATAAGTAGAAAATGAAAGGTTCATTTATTTGAATAGTATACTAGAATTTCAGGGAACATAGTAATATACATATAAAATGCATACAGTGTTAGTTAAGTCAATAATCGAATCTGGCAGTGAAATATGGGCCTGGATTTGAGAGGGACAGAGAAAGAATTAAAACTATAAAAATAGAAGTATTGAGATAATTGGTACATGTATAACTGACAAAAAAGAAATACTAGTACTTAAGAAAAAGAAACAAATATTTTATCATTAATAACATTGTAGAAGAAATCAGGTAGATGATGACAGAAAGATCATGTAGGAAGCGTAAGAAACCAAGTGATTAGAAATTGTAAGGAGAGTGAATATGGATAACAAATGTAATGTAATGAAAACTTTGAGGTTACGTATCTACAGAATGGGGTCTGACGCTTATAAAAGGGCTTCAAGTGGAGCAGCTGTATTACATGTTGGGATTCCAGGTAGGGTTGCTTAAATGTCTCCTCTCCTGCCTTGCACTTGCTCTATCTTTATCACTCATTCTGTCTATTTACTTTAGTCCAATTCCCTCATTTTACAGATGAGCAAAATGCAAAAGAGAAGGCTAGTGATTGCCCAAGGTCTCACAGTTAGTATAAGGAATAGGCCTGAACATCATACTGTATATTACAACTATGTTAGTGTGTAAAGCAAAGAAATCAAGAAGGTTATATGAATTTACTGTACCTCAAGCTTATTTAAATTTGGAAAGTTACTTAAGTTTTCTTTGATAATTTTATTTAAAAGGCTTATTAATAAATATTTTCCATGTTATACAAGTGTTTTGTATTATCTTTAGTGATTATTATTTAAATAGTCTCCTCAAAAATAGCTATTAAATTATCTATTAATTTCTCCTCATTAGTTGTAAAATTTTTATCTAAAATTGGTCATCAGAAGCAGGTCTTCTCATTACTGACAATCAGTGAAATTCTACTGTATTGATTGACTTTTAAGTAACTGTTATCAGCACTATCGCATTTATTGTATGGTATAATGCTTTCTGATTATTCTGCATGTTAAAGTGTAATGGTTGTTGTAAATCTCGTGTATAATTACATGAATTTTAAAGAACCATAAAGCACAATTCTGTGGATTACAAACTGCAGTTTGTGAAATTTTGAAGTTCTCAAATCCCACTTTCTTTTTTTCTTTTTGTGATTTCTCACTGAGATCTGACATTATATAAGTTGAGATTTTAATAAGGACAATTGATTTTTATGTTGTTTGTATTCTACAATATATAGCTTAAAATCAAATTTTATTAATAATAATCAATGTTTATGCTTAAAGGGAATACTTCCACAGCTCCACCAATCCTGAATCCTTATCCCTGGGTTGAAATGTGATAGGAGAATATTTAAAGAAATACATACAGGGTTGATCTTCTCTCATTTCTTCTTTAATATCCTGATAAAGCCTAGGAAATAGTTTGAATGTCCACCAAATACACAATGGATAGAAGATGTCTGATCCATTTTTATAGCTTTTCTTTTAATACATAATTTTAGTAATAATTGGTACTATGACTACTAAATGTTAGTTTTCTAATGAACCATGTATACAAATTCAGAACGTGAGTTGATGCATTTAGAATGTTAGGTCTGTATTTATGTATTACCTTTAAGTGCGAACACTTCATAGAAAATAGATTCACCTGGTATCAACTTCACAGAAGAGGGTTTATGGTCTCTAGGGAATTTTCCATGAAATTTTTTTTTTCTATTATGTTGGTTTAGTGCAAAAAGATTGTGACTAAACCACTTTTTAAAAACTTTTATTTTAGCTTCAATGGTACATGTGAATGTTTGTTTTATAGGTGAATGTGTCATGGGGGTTTATCGTACAGATTATTTCATCACCTAGGCATTAAGCCCAGTACCCAATAGTTATCTTTTCTGCTCCTCTCCCTCCTCCCACCCTCCACCCTCAAGTAGACCCCAGTGTCTCTTGTTCCCTTCTTTGTATGAACAATGCTTTTAAATAGTAATGATTGATAAGTTGAAACATGAATTATGGAAATAATTATTTAACACAACATTTTATTATATATAACGTAATAAATCTGTGCATATGTACATTGAAAATATTTTCTCCCATTACATAGGTTGTCTTTTCACTCTGTTGATTGTTTCCTTTGATGTGCAAAAGCTTTTTAGTTTGCATATCTGCATATATGTATATAAACAGCTTTACTGAGGTATAATAGTTACACAAAAACTGCACATATTTAATATGTATAATTTGATGGATTTGAACACATGCACCCATGAAAACATAACTACAATCAAGGTAATACATTTATCCATCACCTCCAAAAGTTTTCTCCTGGCCGGGAGCGGTGGCTCACACCTGTAATCCCAGCACTTTGGGAGGCCAAGGCGGGCAGGATCATTTGAGGTCAGGAGTTCCAGACTAGCCTGACCAACATGGAGAAACCCCATCTCTACTAAAAATACAAAAAAAAAAAAAAAAGGCCGGGCGTGGTGGTGCATGCCTGTAGTTCCAGCTACTCAAGAGGCTGAGGCAGGAGAATTGCTTGAGCCTGGGAGGCGGAGGTTGCAGTGAGCCGAGATCGTGCCATTGCACTCCAGCCTGGGTGACAGAATGAGACTCCATCTCAAAAAAAAAAAAAAAAAAAAAAAAAATTTCCCTCCCCTTTGTTGTGCATGTGTGCATGTGTGTTTAGAACACTTCACATGATATCTGCCATCTTACATTTTTAAGTGTATAATGCATTATTGTTTACTATAGGCACTATGTGGTACAACAGATTGCTAGAATATATTCATCATGCATAACTGAAACTTTATGGCTTTGGAACAATTCCCCATTTCCCACTTCCCTCAAACCTTGGCAACCACCATTCTACTCTCTGCTTCTGTGAACTTTTCTGTTTTAGGTACCTCATATAAGTGAAATTATGCAGGATTTTTCCTATGATTGGCTTGTTTTACTTAGCATAATGTCCTCTAGGTTCATCTGTGTTGTAACAAATGGCAGAATTTCCTTCTTCTCTAAGGCTGAATACTCTTCTATTGTATGTGTATACCACATTTTCTTTATCCATTTGTACATTAAAGAATATTTGGGTTGTCTTCGTGTTTTGGCTGTTGTGTATAGTACTGCTATGCACCTGGGAGTGCAGATATATTTTCAAGATGCTGATTGTAATTTTTTGAATATATACACAGAAGTGATTATTGAATCATGTGGTAGTACTATTTTTAATTTTTTGAAGAACCTCCATACTGTTTTCCACAGTAAATGTACCATTTTAAATATCCATTGTAGTGTATAAGGATTACAATTTCTTCACATCCTTGCTAATGCTTGTTATCTTTTATAAAAATTAATAGCCATCCTAACAGGTGTGAGGTGATATCTAATTGTGGTTTTGATGTGCATTTCCCTGATGATTAGTGATGTTGAACACCTTTTTATATTTTTTCCCTTTCTATAGGTCAACTTTTCACTCTGTTGATTGTTTCTTTTGCTGTGGCAAAGCTTTTTAGTTTGATGTAGTTCTGCTTGTCTGTTTTTGTTTTTGTTGCCTGTGCTTTTAGTGTTATTTCCAGGAGATCATTGCCAAGACCAATTCCATGATGCTTTTCCTTTATGTTTTCCTCTACGAGTTTTATAGCTTTAAATCTTCTGTTTAAGTATTTAATCCATTTTGATTTGATTTTTGTGTATGATGTAAGATAAGGATCCAATTTCATTCTTTTATGTGTGGTTATTCAGTTTTCCCAACATTATTTGTTGAAGAGACTATCTTTTCCCTACTGTGTATTCTTAAAACTCTTATTGAAGATCAGTTAATCATATATGCATGGGTTTAATTCTGAGCTCTCTATTCTGTTTTATTTGTCTATATCTCTGTCTTTATGCTAGTGCCATCCTGTTTTAATTATCATAGCTTTGTAATACATTTTGAAATCAGGAAATGTGAGGCCATCAGCTTTGTTCTTTTTTTTGTCAAGACTGCTTTGGCTAAACAGTTGACTTTTGTGGTTCCACATGAATTTTAGAATTTTTTATCTCTATAAAAATGCCATTTGGATTTTGATGGGTGTAACATTAAATCTCTCAGAAACTGAATTTATGATCCCTGCCATCCAACAGTTAGTGTATTTATATTCATGTTTAGTGACATAAATAGCAAACTGGAGCAATGGTAGATCCATAAAGCCAGGCGCATTAGTTTGCTAGGGCTGCCTTAACAAAGCACCACAGACTGGGTGTCATAAACAAATAGAATTTAATTTTCTCACAGTTCTGGGGGCTGGAAGTCCAAGGTCAAGGTGTTGGGCAGGTTTAATTTTTATTGAGGCCTTTCTCCTTAGCTTGCAGATGGCTGCCTTCTTGCTGTATCCTCACACGGCTTTTCCTCTGTGTGTACATGCTGGGAGAGAAAGAGAGAGACCTCTCATGTCTATTCCTCTTAATAAGGACAACAGCCATTTTGGATTAGAGCCACCATTCTTATGATTTTGCTTAACCTTAGTTACCTCTTTAAAGACTCTGTTTCCAAATACTTTCACATTGGGGGTTAGGGTTTCAACATATTAATTTTTGGGAAACACGATTTAGTCTATAGTGCCCCGTAAACTCTTATTTAAGATACAATTGCTGTACACGAAAATAATAGAAATGCATTAAATTGGATTAAAATATGTGAAGAGGAATCTCTCAATCCACTCAAATATTAGCAGGATGGGCTTTCTCTGGAAAGTATTGCTTTAGATTTTGACAGGCTGGAGTAATGGGTCAGTTCTAGAAGATGACCTGTGCTGTATAAAAGTAAGGATCTGCACATATATTCCAGAAACCATTTTAGAAATACAGAATCGGCAAGATCTAGCTTAACAGCAGCACATGAGCAAATAACCTAAGATACAAGAATACAAGGCAGGGCTCAAGGTAGGTATTATGTAGTAGCAAGTAGATTCCTTTGGGAATTGGGTACAAAACAAATATATTGGGACTAGATATTGAGAGTTCTGGGGCATGGAGTCAGTTATTGGGTGGGAGGACTTAGGCATTCAGGGACAGCAGTTAAGACTAGAACTAGTACTGGGAGAGTGTATCTGGCAGTAAAATGGTGGTTGGGGACCCTCAAAAGGCAGACTTAATTTCACAATTTACACCAGGGTGCTAAAAGGAAACTTAATGAAGAAAATGCAGTACTAGGAAATGGGACACAAAGCAGGCTACTTAACTGAGAGATCTGAATCAAGGAAAATAGCCACCAATCAGGAGAGCTTGGGAAGGAGGGGAAAAGTATGAGAAAGTGGCATGAAAGAAAGAAGGGAAATTACCTCACCCTCATATAAAGGGAGTACAATTAGTAAGGGCCAAAGTTGAAAATGACAAACAGAGGAAGAATATACTTCAAAATGTACAATAAAAAGGAGTATGTGTGAAAGCAGAGAGAAAAGTTTAATATCTAGGGAAGAAGGTACAAACATTGGGTTATGATGCAATGTAAACCTGCCTCAAAAACCAAAAAACCAAATACCTACAGCTTCTGCTTACAAAGTGAAGGGTATTTCCAAATATGCATGCTATTAAATGGCTATAATGTAAGTCATGGATGAGTTAGTAATTCACTGGTTTGTAAACAGTAAGAGCTCATTAATACCTCACTGCTATTCAATTATAGGCCTCTGCATTACTGCTACTTACCCTGTCCATTATAAGAAATTAAAGTGTAATCACATTGCTAGCTTTGTATGTTTCATATGTAATATAATGTCTTTACTAGAGAATGCTGCTTCCTTTTACATCAAACCTCAAAAAGGTAGGTTTTCTTTTATACATACAGATTTTGGTTTTTCTTGGTGTCTTTAAATTTTAGCATTATTCCCTTTTTGTTAAATCTCCTACATTTGCATGATGTTCCAGCAATATATTCCACTACTTGAACATAGGGATACTCTGAATTTTTGTGCCTATAAGTAATCTCACATAATTATGTATATTATGTAAGTAAATATATAGCATTTTGTGTGTATGTATAGTAATGAACATCCTTTTTTCTTTTCATAATTTATTTGGTGCTAGATTAAACAAAACCCTCTTTCTTACACCAGAAAACGGAATTGGAAGATGTCTTTATGATGACGAGCTTATCATTAGCTCATAGATCATCCTGACAAATTCCGTTTTCAAGAGAAGGTCCAAACCGAAAAGGACATCACAGTTTGTCTCCCTGACAGAGGAACAGAGATAGATCTGAGCTTTAAGGAGAAATAGCCTTTGCTGTTCATTTGACTGTTGTTGGGGTTGTGGTTATCTTCTGTTGTGTATACATTCTAAAGCACTGAATATTCTACTGATGTTCTCCTTTTTAGGTGCTGACCATCTCTTGAGAAGTAGAAACTTGGTGTATAGCTTGTATGTCTTAGTGACATGGAAAGGTGATTCTTCATTTATCAAAGAGGGTTCTCTTTGAAATTCTAGTTTCATAACTTTCTCCATCAGTCTCTTCTCCATTTTTTGAATGTCATTTCTGTTTTGCCTCTGGGGCTATTGATCTGGTCTTTGCCCTTTCCTGCAGAAAGGAAGGCTGTCATTAAAAAATAATGTGAATTTTCAAGTTTATTCATGTCAGCTTTTTTTTTCACTTGGAAACTGAAAATGGGAGGAGATATGCATATTTATCTAGAATTGCGTGCAACTTGAAGATGTTATTTAAGAGCATGTGTTTTTGTGAAGCGTTGGTCATATGTTTTAAAAAACAAATATATTCAGGAGCATCATGGGAATTTATTTCATTCTTGTGCCTGTGTTGGCTAGTGTGTCCACTATCTCTTAGCTGAAAAGCATGTTCCACATTATCTGATGGTTAACACTGATGCATGTGCATATTGTCCCTTATTAATCACAAGCCCGCACCTTCCACACTGAATCGTAACAATAACGGTAAATGACCCAAATTACTTAGAAATTTCAGAATAAGATTAATAGCCATCCCTATTCTTTTATTTGGAATGGCTGCTAATAACTTAGTGAGGTGGCACATGACAGTTTTTTTTTTGAAATCAGGATTGTTCTTATATTTTATTGGGATGTAAAATTTGTGTATATCACAAAAACATAAAGAGGAAGAAATTTTGTGAAATGCTGAGAACGCAGGATTTTTTTAAACTAGTTCATCATTCTTTTAATCCTATTCCTGAAATGATGATTTAATATGAAATCATTTTACACAGCTTAAGAACAGGAAAATGCATGATCATCAAGAAAGCCTATAGAGTTTCCCCATTATTGGCATCACAAATGGTGTGTTTACTCAACAGAGCTGCTTTGTTGTTTCTAATGCAACCCCTGCTCAATTTTTTCCCCACAATACTTGGAGAGTCCATTCCTAGCTTTAGCAGTAGTCTTGAGTGAGCTTCTAAATGATTGGTTAGAGCTGGCAATGCTGACAGGAAATGGAAATGTTCCTTGTTAAGAGAGTCAGAGATAACTTGCTCTTCATTTATTTGCGAGCCCTGGCATTAATATTTTTTATTAAAATTATTTTGCATGTACTCAATTAAAAATTGATGAACACTCTAAAATGAGAGCTAGTTTGTATATCTAAATTGATGAACACTCTAAAATGAGAGCTAGTTTGTATATCTAAATATGCTGATCACTTGCGTTGAGCAGTGAAGTGAACTTAGATATATCATTTCAGATTCATGTTCCAATACATAATTTTGTTGAGATTTTGTTTCAATTCAAATTCATAAGGTACTCATTCTCTACCATTACCACATTTGGAAGCCAGGAGTTTATATTTTTTAAATTCTTGATCCAGCTTATTTTCATGACTCTGGTAATTAGTGGCTTAGGATTTTTGTATTTCAAATTTATCCTGGGAATTACCTAGTTTTAGAATTTACCAAAGAGATTTTCCCCTGTTAATTCTTTTTTGCATAAAGTGTCTCAAAATGTGACACAAAATTCTTCTCAGTGGATATTATTTTGAAGTTGTTTAAAGTGGATCTGAAATGTGATTATCTTTTGCTTCACAAGGTTTCTCCTTTAAAAAAAAAGTCTATAGCTAAAAAGTAGCTTATTTGCCCCAAAACATATGAAAGGGAGAGGGAGGGAGTGTTGGGACCCATCTTGATAACAACAGTCTTCCTTTGTAAGATTTCATTCCAGGCTAATGGCTGGTGAAATTGTTCTGGGTAGTTAAAATGAAATAAAATGAGTTAAAGAACATGAAGTAGAGCAAGCAGAATGGGTTATTGCTTTTCTTTGAAGGCACAATAGCCATACTCTGTCTCTTTTTGTTATTCATATCTATGTGGCAGATAAAGCCAGGGTTTTGAATGCCATGATGGCCAAATGAAGGCTATAAATTCAGAGCTTTGGTGCAAAATTCTGTAGCTAGCAGGTACTAGAACAGGATGCCAAAGATTTGGATTCTCAAATTGTTTTAACTGATGAGTATTCACAGTTGAAAAAAGGAGGAAGCACAATTCTTACCCCTCTCTGAGAAACATCATGTTAGAAGTGAAATAACTAATGTTCTCCTAAAAAGTACACTTATTGAACACAGACATGAGAAGGAAAAGCATTGTGAAAGTCAAAATTGGTATTTCTTTCAGGACTGTTCAGAAGTTTTCCTGAGAACGCTATAAAAATGAAGGCAGTTTTGAACGTGTAAAAAAGTCAAATGATAGGCTATTTATAATTCAGTTTTAAAAAGTATTCGTCTATGTGACTGTATCTTCTTTCAGTGAACAGAAAAGGACTTTTAAATGTCTGGAAGCTTGCAGCTATCAATGCAAAAGTTTCATGAATTAGTATAATGAAGTGGAAAAAAGTACCTGGTTTTACAGTGTTGTTACACAGCTGAAAAAAAAAGTGTCATATCAGGTTGGGATCACATTTGTCTAAGAAAAAAATAACATGAGTCTTTCTTTTGTCAACACAAGAGATAAGCTGTATGATACCGGGAAATTATACTCTCTGATCTAGCCTTCTCTTATGGAAGTAACTAGAGATTAAAGTCTCCATCTAGAGTTGCATTACTTTTATACAGTTTTTATGTAAGGCAATTTTTGCAAGAGAAAAATACTAGCAAAAAAGGTCCAAATTTCTTTACAAAATCACAAGTCCATTTGGAATTCTGCATTTTTATTTCTTTCTCCTGGTGTTATGATATGTAAACAAAGAAAAGCCAAGTATTCCAAATTAAGAAGTTGTATATATGGATACCTTGTGCTTCTAATATGTCTTTATTTATCATATGTTGTGTGTGAAAAAATTTGCATATTGTTTACTCCAAATAATCTAATACATATTATAGTGTGAATATAATGTCATTGGCAAATAACACTAATTTCCTATTAAAATATACTTTTAACACTAACTAGATACAAATCCTGTTATAAAAATAAAAATACCTTATTTTTTGAAAATTTTTGTCCTTGTCTTTTAGTTATAAGTTTAGTCATTTCATTTGGGAGAAAAGTAATATCCTACCCACTCTTTCAAGATTAGTATTCTTTCAAATATATTTACTATGAAAATAATTTAATGGATGAAATTATTAGGCACTTAAAAATACTGGTTTACATTTATTGGACATATCCTATGTGCCCAACACCAATATTCATTTTAAGCCAAGCACAATAATATGAAACGGGTTTTATGATGTGTAAATTATCTTTCATGTGTTTTTGACACTGTTATTCATGTGTTTGCCTTTTTACTACCGATTAGGGATACATGAAATATGCCATGCTGGTTTACAAGGACTTAGTTTTCTACTTGTATAAAGAGTGTTTGTCCCTGTACCCTTTGGTATGTTTACTCAATTTCTTTACTTGGTTTTATTTATCTCACCACCAAATGATACAAAATTTTCTTTATTTTGTATTGTTCCTGTTTATGTTAATCATTCTTTCAGCCATACTCTCTATGGTAGTCTTTGAAGAACATCAAAAGGTACTCATTCAACCAAAAATATTTGTCCCTTCCCATGAGCTAGCTTGTTTCTTGAAATTCCCAGCATTAGGCAACCCCCTCGCCCATCTTGGCATTCACACCTCTGTTAAAATGCTGATAGATTCTTTTTTTTTTTTTAAGTTTTCAAATTTAGTAGCCCTTACTACCACTTACATTGCACCCTTCCTTTCTTTTCCCTTCTATTTCCTGTCCTATGCTATTCTTCTTTTAAAAAAAATGCTGGTCACAACCTACTAAATTATTTTAATAAACAATTACTAAAGAGGATCAACCCATCATTTGAAAAACACTAACAATATTTAACCTGACTTAAAGAAAGTTACATTTAAAACCAACTTAAATACATTTAAAACATGTATTCTTTTACCTAGAATAATCTTTGTTTTTGAGCCAGTCAGTAATGCAATGCTGATTTCTTTTTTTCCAAATCCTTATTATTTATTATTTTTTTAATTTTATTTTTCCATAAGTTATTGAGGTACAGGTGGTATTTGGTTACATGAGTAAGTTCTTTAGTGGAGATTTGTGAGAACCTGGTGCACTTATCACCCGAGCAGTACACACTGCACCATATTTGCAGTCTTTTATTCCTCGCCCCCTTCCACTCTTACCCCCAAGTCTCCAAAGTCCATTGTATCATTCTTATGCATTTGTGTCCTCATAGCTTAGCTCCCATATATCAGTGAGAACATACGATGTTTGGTTTTCGATTCCCGAGTTACTTCACTTAGAATAATAGTCTCTAATCTCATCCTGGTCATTGCAAATGCTGTATATGTACATACATATATATCAGAGTTTCTTTATCCACTCGTTGATTGAAGGGCATTTTGGTTGGTTCCACGATTTTGCTATTGTGAATTGTGCTGCAGTAAACATGTGTATGCAAGTATCTTTTTCAAATAATGACTTCTTTTCCTCTGGGTAAAGAGGAAAAAAAAAAAAGAAAAAAGAAAACCCAGTAGTGGGTTTGCTGGATCAAATGGTGGTTCTACTTTTAGTTCTTTAAGAAATCTCCACACTGTTTTCCATAGTGGCTGTACTAGTTTACATCCTCACCAGCAGTGTAGAAGTGTTCCCTGATCATCGCATCTACGCCAACATCTACTGTTTTTTGATTCTTTGATTATGGCCATTCTTACAGGAGTAAGGAGGTATTATATTGTGGTTTTGATTTGCATTTTCCTGATTATTAGTGATGTTGAGCATTTTTTCATGTATTTTTTGGCCATTTGTGTATCTTCTTTTGGGAATTGTCTATTCATGTCCTTAGCCCACTTTTTGATGCGATTGATTGTTTTTTTTCGTACTGATTTGTTTGAGTTAGTTGTAGATTCTGGATATTAGTCCTTTGTCAAATGTAAAGATTGTGAAGGTTTTCTCCTATTCTGTGGGTTGTCTGTACACTCTGTTGACTGTTCCTTTTGCTGTGCAAAAACTCTTTAGTTTAATTAGGTCCCAGCTATTTATCCTTGTTTTTATTGCAATTGCTTTTGGCTTTTTGGTCATGAACTCCTTGCCTATGCCAATGTCTAGAGGGTTTTTTTCTGATTTTATCTTCCAGAATTTTTACAGTTTTAGGTCTTAGGTTTAAGTCCTTAATCCATCTTGAGTGGATTTTTGTGTAAGATGAGAGATGAGGATCCAGTTTCGTTCTCCTACATGTGGCTAGCCAGTTATCCCAGCACCATTTGTTGAAAAGGGTATCCTTTCCTCACTTTATGTTTTTGTTTGCTTTGTCGAAGATCAGTTGGCTGTAAGTATTTGGATTTATTTCTGGATTCTCTATTCTGTTCCATTGGTCTATGTGCTTATTTTTCTGCCAGTATCATGCCATTTTGGTGACTATGGCCTTATAGTATAGTTTGAAATCAGGTAGTGTGATGCCTCCAGTTTTGATCTTTTTGCTCGGTCTTGCTTTGGCTATCCAAGTTCTTTTTTGGTTCCACATGAATTTTACAATTGTTTTTTCTAACTCTGTGAAGAATGATGGTGGTATTTTGATGAGGATTGCATTGAATTTGCAGATTGCTTTTGGCTGTATGGTCATTTTCACAATATTGATTCTACCCATCCATAAGCATGGATATGTTTCCATTTGTTTGTGTCATCTATGATTTCTGGTAGCAGTGTTTTGTAGTTTTCCCTGTAGAGGTCTTTTGACTCCTTTGTGAGGTATATTCCTAAGTATTTTTTTTTTTTTTGCAGCTATTGTGAAAGGGGTTGAGTTATTGATTTGATTTTCTGCTTGGTCATTGTTGGTATATAGAAGAGCTACTGATCTGTGTACGTTAATCTTGTATCCAGAAACTTTGCTGAATTTTTTTGTCAGTTCTAGAAGCTTTCTGGAGGAGTCCTTAGGGTTTTCAAGGTAAACAATCATATTGTCAGCAAAGAGGGTCAGTTTGACTTCCTTTTTACTGATTTGGATGCCCTTTATCTTTTTCTCTTGTCTGATTTCTCTGGGTAAGACTTCCAGTACTATGTTGGAGTGGTGAGAATGGCATCCTTGTCATGTTCCCGTTCTCAGGGGGAATGCTTTCAACTTGTTCCCATTCAGTATTATGTTGGCTGTGGGTTTGTCTTAGATAGCTTTTATTACATTAAGGTATGTCCCTTGTATGCTGATTTTGCTGAGGGTTTTTTTCAGAAAGGGATGCTGGATTTTGTCGAATGCTTTTTCTGCATCCTTTAAGATGATCACGTGATTTTTGTTTTTAATTCTGTTTATGTGGTGAATCACATTTATTGGCTTGCATATGTTAAACCATCCCTGCATCCCTGGGATGAAACTCACTTGATCATGGTGGTTGGTTTTTGATATGTTGTGGTTGATATGTTTTTTGATATGTTGTTGGATTCGGTTAGCTAGTATTTTGTTAAGGATTTTGGCATCTATGTTCATCAAGGATATTGGTCTGTAGTTTCCTTCTTTAGTTGTGTCCTTTCCTGCTTTTGGTATTAGGGTGATGCTGGCTTCGTAGAATGAATTAGGGAGGGTTCCTTCTTTCTCTCTCTTGTGGAATAGTGTCAAAAGGATTAGTACCAATTTTTCTTTGAATGTCTGGTAGAATTCTGCTGTGAACCTGTCTGGTCCTGGACTTTTTTTGTTGGTAATTTTTAAATTACCATTTCAACCTCACTGCTTCTTATTGGTCTGTTCGGGGTATGTAATTCTTCCTGATTTGAGCTAGGAGGGTTGTTTTTTCCAGGAATTTATCCACCTCTTCTAGGTTTTCCAGTTTATGTGCATAAAGGTGTTCATAGTAGCCTTGAATGATCTTTTGTATTTCAGTGTTGTCAGTTGTAATATCTCCTATTTCATTTCTCAGTGAGGTTATTTAAATTTTCTCTCTTTTTTCCTTAGGTTAATCTTGCAAATGATATATCAATCTTATTTATCTTTTCAAAGAACCAGCTTCTTGTTTCATTTATCTTTTGTACTTTTAAAAATTTCAATTTGTTTAGTTCTGCTCTGATCTTGGTTATTCCCTTTCTTTTGCTAGGTTTGGGTTTGGTTTGTTCTTGTTTCTCCAGTTCTTTGAGGCATGACCTTAGATTGTCTGTTTGTCCTGTTTCAGACTTTTTGATGTAGGCGTTAGGGCTATGAACTTTCCTCTTAGCACTGCCTTAGCTGTATCCCAGAGGTTTTCATAGGTTGTGTCATTATTGTCATTCAAACTGAGGGTTCTTAGCTTTGGTGGTTTAATGCTCTATTTTTGTGCTGGTTTACCACCTGCCAGGAGGTGGCACTTTCCAAAAAGCATCAGCTGTAGTAGTGTGGAGAGGGACTGTCAGTGGGCAGAGCCCTAGAGTTCCCAAGATTATATGTCCTTTGTCTTCGGCTACCAGAGTGGGTAGGGAAGGACCATTAGGTAGGGGCGGGGCTAGGTGTGTCTGGACTCAGACTCTCTTTGGGCAGGTCTTGCTGTGGCTGCTGTGGGGGGTGGGGGTGAGATTCCCAGGTCACTGGAGTTGTGTACCTAGGAGGATTATGGCTGCCTCTGCTGAGTCATGCAGGTTGTCAGGGAAGTGGAGAAAATCCACCGAAGGCCTGGTCTCACTCCCACCGTGCCACCTGCAACAACCCCAAGTCTGTTTCCAGGTGGAGGGCAGGCTTAAAAACTTGCCCGAGGCTTTCTGCCACCCAGCTGTGAGAGAAAAGGGCTTTAGTTCTTCCCCTGCCTGTGAAGTCTGCAAGCTGGATTCACACCCTCCCCTGAGTTCTGACCAAGAGGCTTTTCATCCCGCTCAAATTGTTACAAAGTTCAGCTAGGGAAGTCCTTCTCCCCTGTGGGGTTTTACCCCTTGTCCTCTGGCCTCCCTCCTGATGGATCCCTGTGGTGCCAGGCAGGAATGGGTTGCCTGGGGGGTTGGTGAGCTCCCAGGGCCTCCCTGCTGCCTTCTCCACCCCTGTATTTCGCTCAGCTTGGCTCTCTAACTTGACTCAGCTCCAGGTAAAGTTGGAACATCTCCTGCAAACAGACTTTCAGCTTCTCCAGTGGGGGTGTGTGTTTGGGAAAGGAGCAAAATGCTGATAGATTCTTGAGGGTAGGCCTAGATGGTGTGCCATTGTACACAAGCAACCCTGGGCATGTTGACTCTAGATGACCAGTAGAGAGCAGGCCAATTGGGAAAAATCAAGTTGACGATCTTGAAAAGATAACATATACACAAATCAACTGAAGATGGAATAAAGACTTAAATGTAAAACCCAAAACTGTAAAAACCCTGGAAGACAACCTAAGCAATACCATTCTGGATATAGAAACTGGCAAAGATTTCATGACAAAGACACCAAAAGCAATTGCAACAAAAGCAAAAATTGACAAATGGAATTTAATTAAAAAACTTCTGCACAGCAAAAGAAACCATCAACAAAGTAAACAGACAACTTATAGAATGGGAGAAAATATTCATGTACTATGCATCTGACAAAGGTCTAGTATCCAGCATCTATAAGAAACTTAAATTTACAAGAGAAAAACAAACAACTGCATTAAAAAGAGGGCAAAGGACATGAATGAACACTTTACCAAAGAAGACATACGTCAGCCAACAAGCGTATGAAAAAAAGCTAAATATCAATAATTATTAGAGAAATGCAAACCGTAACAAGATACCATCTCACACCAGTCAGAATGGCTACTTAAAAAGTAAACAAACAAACAAACAGATACTGGCAAGGTTGAGGAGAAAAGGGAATGCTTATACGCTGTTGGTGGGAATCTAAATGAGTTCAAGTATTGTGGAAAGCAATGTGGTAATTCCTAAGAGAGCTAAAAGTAGAACTATCATTCAACCCAGCAATCTCATTACTGGATGTATGCCCAAAGGAATATAAATTATTCGATCATAAAGACACATGCACATGTATGTTCATTGCAGAACTTTTTACGATAGCAAGGATATGGAATCAACCTAAATGTCCATCAGTGGTAGACTGGATAAAGAAAATGTACATATACACCATGGAATGCTATGCAGCCATAAAAAAGAATGAGATCACATCCTTTCCAGGAACATGAATGGTGCTGGAGGTCATTATCCTTAGCAAACTAATGCAGGAACAGAAAAAGCAAATACTGCTTGTTCTCACTTATAAGTGGGAGCTAAATGATGAGAACATGTGGACACATAGAGAGGAACGATACACACTGGGTCTATAGGAGGGTGAAGGGTGGAAGGAGGGAGAGGATCAGGAAAAATAACTAATGGATACTAGGCTTAGTACCTGAGTCATGAAAAATTCTGTACAACAAACCCCATGACACAAGTTTACCTATATAACAAACCTGCACATGTACACCTGAACCTAAAATACAAGTTAAAAAAGAAAGAAAGAAAAGATACCAAAGACAAGCCTACTTCAATTCATTTGCCTAGTTATTAACACCAACTAGTTGATGTGGTGAGTTGGAATTTTGAACTATTTTCAGAGTTACCAAGAATGCAACTCTTTTGGACCATCCATTTAAACTGGTTTCCAGGTTGGGACTTGAAATCCCAACTTACGGCAAGAGTTAATCTCATCTGCTCTAGGGTGAAAGATAGTAATGAGGATAAACCTAGAGAAATAAAGAAAGTTGTGTCTCTGGGAGAGTTTCAGGTAGACTAGAGGGAGACTGTATTAGTCCATTTTCACGCTGCTGATAAAGACATACCCGAGACTGGGAAGAAAAAGAGGTTTAGTTGGACTTACAGTTCCACATGGTTGGGGAGGCCTCAGAATTGTGGCAGGAGGCAAAAGGCACTTCTTACATGGTGGCAACAAGAGAAAATGAGGAAGATGCAAAAGCAGAAACCCCTGATAAAACCATCAGATCTCGTGAGACTTATTCACTACCATGAGAACAGTGTGGGGGACACTGCCCCTGTGACTCAAATAATCTCCTACCGTGTCCCTCCCACAACACGTGAGAATTATGGGAGTACAATTCAAGATGAGATTTGGGAGGGGACACAGAGCCAAACCATATCAGAGACTTTGTAGAGGAAATGCTTTATTGGAAAATGGAGGATGAGCAGTTCCTCATTGTAGGTGTTTATGGTTCAGGATAGTAGATAAACATCTCTCTGCATTTATCTTTCACTTTGTAATGTACTTTTCACAGAGATAAACTAAGGAGACATTGCACTTTGAATGAAGAGGATTTAAAAACATGGCACACATTGCCCCCTTTGAAACCCTTGGACAGTGACATGTGCATATGGAATGAGTGGTGACCACATCAAGAAGACTAAATATAATTTGATGTATTTTGAGAAGCTTCAAGCTGATCTACAACAATTGGTATTCTTTCTATAATTTCAGCTAACATTACTTTATGATATGAACTCTGCATACAAATTAATCTGAAATACTCAATATTCTCTAAACACATACTACTCTCTACCAAAATATTACACTGGTCACCCCCAACCCCATTTTTATAGACTTATTTTTAGGACAGTTATAGATTTTCAGAAAAATTTAGAAGTACAGAGAATTCTCATATATCCTGTACCTAGCTTCCCCTATTGTTACCATCTTAAATTAATATGGTAAATTTCTTATAATTAATGAGCTAATATTTCTACTTTATTTATATTTTAATTTAATTTTTTTTTTTTGAGACAGAGTCTTGCTCTACCACCCAGGCTGGAGTGCAGTGGTGCGATCTCGGCTCACTGCAACTTCTTCCTTCCCGACTCCAGTGATCCTCCCACCTCAGCGTCCTGAATAGCTGGGATTATGTGTGTGCACCACCATGCCTGCTAATTTTTGTATGTTTTGTAGAGATAGGGTTTCGCCAAGTTGCCCAGACTGGTCTGGAACTCCTGGGCTCAAGCTATCTGCCCGCCTCGACCTCCCAAGGTGCTAGGGTTATAGCCATGAGCCACTGCGCCCAGCCCAATATTTGTACTTTAGTATTAACTAAAGTTTATACTTTATTCAGAATTCCGTAGTTTTTACCTAATGTCCTTTTCCTGTTCTGTGATTTCATCCAGGATACCACATTCCATTTAGTTGTCATGTTTCTAGGCTGCTCTTGTCTGTGGCAGTTTCTCAGATTTGCCTTGTTTTTGATGACCTTTACAGTTTTGAGTACTGGTCAGGTATTTTTTAGAATATTCCTCAATAGAATTTGTCTGATGTTTTTCTGATGATAAGCCTGGGTTTATGGGTTATGGGAGAAAGACCATTTTCATCACATCATGTCAAGGGTACATACTATCAGCATGATTTATAACTGTAGAGGCTGGGCTTTCATAATAAAGTTTTAAATCTTTGGTTTACCTTGATGTCTTGTCTAGTATTCCACCATTTTCTGTCATCAGCCCACGCTGAAACTATACTGACCTCCATGTACAGCTATACAGTACTTCTTGCTATTTCACGTCTTTACACATGCGTTTCCCCGCTTACCTTCCATCTTCACCTAGGTCATGCATTCATATTTTTCAGAAATAGCACATTTGCTGGGATGTTGCTGCTCAGTCATAATTAGATGACCTCCTTCTCTGCTAACTTTGGAGCTAATACAAAATGTTCCATTGGCTGAAACTTTGAGTACTAACATGATGCCACATGGGTAGCAGAGGTAGTAACGCCTTTGCTTTCTGATAGTTCAATGTACAAAAACTTTGTTTCATGCACAAAATTATTTAAAATACTCTAGAAAATTACTTTAAGGCTATGTGTATTAGGTGAATATGAAACATTATTCCATGTTTAGACTTGGGACCCCTCCTCAAGATATGTCATTATGTATCTGAAAATCTTCCAAAATCCAAAATAATCTGAAATTCAAAAAACTTCTGTTCCCAAGCATTTTAGGTAAGGGATACTAGGCTGGGCATGGTGGTTCACACCTGTAATCCCAGCACTTTGGGAGGCCAAGGTGGGTAGATTACCTGAGGTCAGGAGCTCGAGACCAGCCTGGCCAACATGGCGAAACAGCATCTCTACTGAAAATACAAAACTAGCTGGGCATGGTGGTGGGTGCCTGTAATCCCAGTTACTCAGGAGGCTGAGTCAGGAGAATCACTTGAACCTGAGAAGTGGAGGTTGCAGTGAGGCAAATCGTGCCACTGCACTCCAGCCTGGGTGACAGAGCAAGGCTCCATCTCAAAAAAAAAAATATAGATAAGGGATACTAAATCCGCACAACACTTTCCATATTTCTATACAGCACCTATTAAGCTGTTTGATAATGGTTTTGCTTGTTTGACTTTCCCACTGGATTTAAGCACCAGGACAAGAACTATGTCTTATTTGTGTTTGTATCCTCAAACAGCAACGTCTTGTACATTGTGGACACATAAGTGCTTATTGAATGAATACATGAATAAAGAAGTGAATAAAATAACTCTGAAGCTGAAAACAAAATTGTTAACACAAGCCCATACGTTATATATTTAATATACAGTCATGCATCATTTATTGATGGGGATACATTCTAAGAAATGCATAATTCGGCAATTTTGTCATTGTGCTAGGGTTATACAGTACACTTACACAAATTTCAATGAAATAGCCTATGACACACCTAGGCTATATTTTACAGCCTATTCCTTTTAAGCTATAAACCTGTACAGCATGTTACTGTACTGAATACTGTAGACAATTGCAACACTATGCTATTTGTGAATTTGAACACACCTAAACATAGAAAAGGTACAGTAAAAATATGGCATAAAAGATAGAAAATGGCACATGTATATAGGGCACCATGAACAATATGTGGACTGCAGGTCACACTGGGTAAGTTGGTGAAGGAGTGGTGAGTGAATGTGAAGTCCTAAGACATTACTGTAGACTTTACAAACACTACATTTAGACTACACCAATTTTACTTTAAAGAGTTTATTTCTTGAATAATAAATTAACCTTAGCTTATTGTAATTTTTTACTTTACGAACTTCTATATTTTTAAAAAACTGTTTTACCCTTTTGTAATAACACAGCTTAATACAGAACCACATTGTACAATTGTACAAAAATATTTTCTTTCTTTATATATTTATTCTATAAGCTTTTTCCTATTAATTTTTTAAAACAGTTTAAACTTTCTTGTTAAAAGTTAAGACACAAAAATAAACATGAGCCTAGGCCTACACAGGGTTGGGATCATAAATGTCACTGTCTTGCACTGAAAGTTCTTCTGGCGCAATAACACACATAGGGCTGCCATCTCCTGTAATAACAATACCTTCTTCTGTAATACTTCTTGAAAGATCTGCCTAGGGCTGTTTTACATTAACTTTTTTTTAATAAGTAGAAGGAGTACACTCTAAAATAATGATAAAAAGTACAGTATAATACATACATGAACCAGTAACATAGTCCTTTATTTTATCAAGTACCATGTACTGTAAATAATTGTATGTGTTATACTTTTTATAGGACTGTCAGCACAGTAGGTTTTTTTACACCAGCATCACCACAAACACGTGAGTAATGTATTAAATCATGACACATCGACAGCTATGACATTGTTATGGGATCCCTGGGGTGTGCTTTGTCATCCAGAAACCTCTGTGTCTGGTGGCGCCTCTGCCCGAGTTTTTACTTGAGCCCACTGTTCTTGTTCCACCCATTTGGCCTGGCAGGCTGTGCTGGGCTTGTGCTACTGGCCCGAATCTCACACATGGCAAGGGAAGCCAGCTGTGGAGCGGCAAGGGGTGTGTGAGTGAGTGAGCATGGGGTCTGGCCACTGCACATGGCTGGGCATGATGGCTGCGGTGGGGTGGGTAGCTCCAGGCACTGGCATGGACACTGGCTCCCTGTGAGGCTGTGGCTGAACCAGGCCTAACCACAAGCAGCTTTCATGGCTGACACCAAGGAATGCAGTGGTGACTGCAAGCTTGGAGATGTCAGGAATGACAGAGCCCCAAAGAGACTGTCACAGCCATGGCTCAAGGAGCTCCTAGGTCTGGGCTCCCCGAAGTGCCACAGCTCTTCTCTCCTTCTTATCTCGCTCAATGTGGTGAGCAAGGGGCATGTTTCAGCCCTGTTTGTGTTAAAGCTCTTTCAACCCTGCCATTCAGCAGGTCCCAAGTTCTTGTCCCATGCCGAGTTATATTTTATTTGACAGATTTTAGCAGGGTCATATTCACAATAATAAATATTTCACAGTTCTAATGATTTAACCCTAATCACTCTTTTTACCTCATTGAACTCATTTTGTGTATCTTTTAGATGCTATTTGGCAGGATCCCTTTTCTAAATGCCATCAGATTTCTCCTAATGATATGGGAAGCATTCAGAATATGTTTCTGGCAATCCAGGGTGATATTTTAAATAGTGGCATTGTTCTTGATTTTGTTTTGTGCTAACCAACTTTTATATATAGCTTTGTCTTTATTGGAAGGCCTTCAAATATTTTCATAGCACTAGACACATGTGATACATTCTTACAAGGAGCTAATGAAGTCCTTTGTAGCAAAGAATAAAAGGCCAAACTGGTAGTTTTTCATAGTTATAAAACCTACTCTTAAACTTTGAAAATGATATATATGTCAATAAAAATATTTATAATGTTCCAGCATAAGTCATTGCCCATTTATTCAACTGCTTCAACAGTACTGCATTCAAATAATGAAAACTCAACATTCAAATGGTGTTTAATAAAATTGCTCTCTGCCTCTCTCTGATTGTTATCTTGGATGAAAAAGCAATTCAGATATAATAATAGCTTGCATCATATAATGAATGTGTGTCCCTACCAGTACATAATGAAAGAACATGAAATTAATACAAATAAAAGCTTTATTTTTTTGATATCAGTTGTATGCTTTCTTTTTGTGTTCAGTTGATTAGTGGGATAACTAAATTTTATATTAAAATTCAATAAAATGTTTTTTATTTAAAAATATCAATATTGTTCTTAAACAAGCAAATGTAAATCATGATAAGATAATTCAGCTACAACAGGATGGCATTAGTGTGTTGTATATTTATGAGGATTAATGGGGTGACTGCTAAAAGTGAGAAGCACTAGAAACTCAAAAAAGTAAAGAATTTGCATTTTTGTAGCCAGTGAACCACTTCTCTGCTAACAGAGAAAGCAGTAAGGTGACAATCCCAAATTTTATTCATTATAGCTTATATTAGTTGATGTAGTATTATTTTAGTATTATTTGCTTTGATGGGATAAAGCATTCATAGTTTTTGGTTTGAGCTTTGAAGTAACTGATTTAGATTGTTAATTTTTTATTGAACTATAAAGATGAGTGCAGAAATTATAAGTATACAACTTCGCTGATTTTTTTGTGAGGGAAATACACCTGTGCCTGTGTAGCCAGCAACTAGGTCAACATTATTAGCATGCAGAAGCCCCCCTTTTTACCCCATTTTAGATACTACCACCTGCCAAGGGACAATATGTATCTAACATTTATGTATTTGTTTGCCTATTACTGACCTATATCTAAATAGAATCACAGAATATGTAGTCTTTTGCATCTGGCTTCTTTTATTCATCAGTATGTCTGTAAGATTCATCCTCGTTTTTACATGTAGCAGTAGTTCATTCTTTTTATTGCTGCATAGTATGCCATTGTATGAATATAACAAAGTTCACTTACTCTTTCTGCTGTTGATGGACTTTGGGTTGTCTCTAATTTAGGTTATTTTAAATGATGCCTCTGTGAGCAGTCATGTGTGTGCCTTTGTATCTTTTGGTACACATATGCACTAATTCTTGTTGACTATAGCATTGCTGTATCATAGACTTAGTCTTGTTTTAAGCTTTAGTAGATGATGCCATATAGCTTTAGACTTCCATCAGCAAGCAGAGTATGAGAGTTCCAGTTTCTCCACATTGTCATTAACACTTGGTGTTATATATCTTTTTCATTTTAGCCATTCCCCTGGGTGTGTAATGAAGTTTGTTAGAATTATTAGATCAGGAAAATATGTGTCTGCATGGAGGATTTTAAATAATGAAAATTCTGTTCAGTGAACATGTGTAGGTGATAGCCCAATAGTGAGTGTAGAGGCCTCTGGCTGGGAAGAACAAGTGTCCTTCTTGTGTTACAATTTCTCTGTGGCTTAATGTCATTCACTTCATCTCAACATTTTTATCTCACCAATTATAACCAAAAGCAAGCAACTTCCAAAACTGATTCTACTTAAACTGTCATTTGAAGCCAGTCTTGGAAGGTAGAGTGAGTCCTGGAACAGAAATCTTTATAGTAGTTTTGAAAGATTAACCTGGTTAAGCTCAATTTAGAATTGTAAACATACGCTCATCACACCAGAGAGTTTTGTTGTTTTGGGTGGATCAGCAAGTAGAATCTGGATTTTGAAAGCCTAAGAAACGTTTTGGAATGTTAAAGTTGGCTATCCTCAAACTCAAATTATTTGAGTTAAAGTTATTTTGCAATTGAATGCAAGAAGAAAGTATATTCATCACCATGGTGGTTGTATCAGATTATTATTATTATTATTATTATTATTATTATTATTATTATTACTTTTTGAGACATAGTCTTGCTCTGTCACCCAGTCTGGAGTGCAGTGGTGCAATCATGGCTCATTGCAGCCCTGACCTTGTGGGCTCTAGTGATTCTCTGCCTCAGCCTCCCTAGTAGCTGGGACTATAAGCACATGCTGCCATGCCTGGCTAATGTTTATTTTTATATTTTTTTTGTAGAGATGGTGATATGGTTTGGCTCTGTGTCCCCATCCAAATCTAATGTCAAATTTTAATACCTACATGTTAGGGGAGGGACCAAGTGGGAGGTGATTGGATCATGGGGGTGGATTTCCCCCTTGCTGTTCTCATGATAATTAAGTGTGTTCTCACAATATCTGATGGTTTAAAAGTGTGTGGCACCTCCCTCTTCTCTTTCTGTCTCTCTCCTGCTATGCCATGGTAAGACGTACATGCTTCCCCTTTGCCTTCCACCATGATTGTAAGTTTCCTGAGGCCTCCTAGCCATGCTTCCTCTACAGCCTGTGGAACTGTGAGTTAATTAACTTATTTTCTTTATAAATTACTTAATGTCAGGTAGTTCTTTATAGCAGTGGGAGAATGGACTAATAAAAAAATTGATGTCAGTAGTGGGGCGATGCTATAAAGATGCCTGAAAATGTGGAGTCAACTTTGGAACTGGGTAATGGGCAGAGGTTGGAACAATTTGGAAGTCTCAGAAGAAGACGGGGAGATGTGGGAAAGTTTTGAACTTCCTAGAGACTTGTTGTATGGTTTTAACCAAAATACTGATAGTGATATGGACAATGAAGTTCAGTGGCCTCAGATGGAGATGAGGAACCTATTGAAAACTGGAGTAAAGGTCATTCTTGCTATGCTGTAGCAAAGGGACTGGTGCCATTTTGCCCCTGCCCTAGAGATGTTTGGAACTTTGAACTTGAGAGAGATGAATCAGGGTATATGGAGGAAGAAATTTCTAAACAGCAGTGTTCAAGATGTGGCCTGGCTGCTTCTAACAGCATATGCTGATATGAATTTGTAATGAGATTGTCTGAAATTGGAACTTATATTTAAAAGGGAGGCAGAGCATGAAAGTTGGCAAAATTTGCAGCATGATCATGAGGTAGAAGAGAAAAGCCCATTTCCTAGGGAGAAATTCAAGCGGGCTGCAGAAATTTTCATAAATAAAAGAAGCTGAATGGTAATAGCCAAGGCAATGGGAACATTCTCAAGGGCATGTCAGAGACTGTCACAGCAGCCCCTCCCATCACAGGCCCTAAGGCCTAGGAGGATAAAATGGTTTTGTGAGCCAGGTCCAGGGCTCAGCTACTCTGTGCAGCCTTGGAACATGATGCCCTGCACTGCTTCAGGTCCACCTGTGGCTAAAAGGGACCAAGGAACAGCTCAGGCCATGGCTTCAGAGGGTACAAGTCCCAAGCCTTGGCAGCTTCCACATGGTGTTGGGCCTGCAGGAGCACAGAAGGCAAGAGTTGAGGTTTGGGAACCTCCGCCTAGATTTCAGAGGATGCATGGAAACATCTGGATGTCCAGGCAGAAGTCTGTTGCAAGGGCAGAGCCCTCATGGAGACCTCTACTACAGCAATGCAGAGGGGAAATGTGGGCTTGGAGCCCTCACACAGAGTCCCCAATGGGGCACTGCCTAGTGGAGCTGTGAGAAGAGGGCTACTATCCTCCAGACCCCAGAATTGTAGGTCCACTGACAGCTTGCACCATATATCTGGAAAAGCTGCAGGTACTCATTGCCAGACCATGAAAGCAGCCAAAGGTGCTGTACCCTGCAAAGCTACAGGGGTGGGGCTTCCCAAGGCCTTACGAGCCCACCCCTTGCATCACTGTGTCCTGTATGTGAGTCAAGGAGTCAAAGGAGATTATTTTGGAGCTTTACGATTTATTGAGTGCCCTGCTGCATTCAGACTTGCATGAAGCCTATAGCCCCTTCGTTTTGGCCAATTTCTCCGTTTTGGAATGGTAGCATTTACTTAATGCCTGCACCCCCATTTTATCTTGAAGGTAACTGAATTGTTTTGGTTTTACTGGTTCATAGGCAGAAAGGACTTGCCTTGTCTCAGATGAGACTTTGGACTTATTTGGACTTTTGAGTTAATGCTGGAATGAGTTAAGACTTTGGGGGACTGTTGGGAAGGCATGACTGGTTTTGAATTGTGAGAAGGACATGAGATTTGTGAGAAGCCAGGGGCTGAGTGATATGATCTGGCTCTGTGTCCCCTCCCAAATCTCATGTCAAATTGTAATCCCCACGTGTCAGGGGAGGGACCTGGTGGGAGGTAATTGGATCATGGGGGATGGGTTTCTCCCTAGTTGCTCTTGTGATAGTGAGCGTGTTCTCATGAGATCTGATGGTTTAAAAGTGTGTGGCACTTCCCCCTTCTTTCTCCTGCTCCATTTTGGTAAGATGTGCTTGCTTCCTCTTCACCTTCCACCGTGATTGTAAGTTTTCTGAGGCCTCATAGCCATGCTTCCTGTATAGCCTATGAAACTGTGAGTCAATTAAACCTCTTGTCTTTATCAATTACCCAGTCTCAGGTAGTTCTTTATTACAGTGTGAGAATGGACTAATATAGATGGGGGTCTCACTATGTTGACCAGGCTGGTCTCCAACAGAGTAGTATTATTTTACTTCTTGTTCTTCATTCTTTCCCACATAGTTTTTAGAATTAGATGACATAGTGGTTACTAGGAGCTGTGGGAGCTGGAGTTGGTAGAAAATGGGGAGATAAGGATCTAAAGATACAAAGGAGCAGATACATAGGAAAAAAAAGTCGAGAGATCTAATCTACCACCTGAAGACTATAGTGAATAAAATTTTTTTGGATTGGGAATATTTGTCAAATAGGTAGATTTTAGTTACTTTTCTAAAGAAAGTAACTATGTGTGATGATAATATGTGTTAATTTGTTTCACTATAATAAGGATTTTACTATTTCCATGCCATAACATCATTTTGTAAACCTCAGTCACACTAAAATTCATGTTTTTTTAAAAAATAACTGGATCATAGTGAAGAGATAGTTTCTCTGTCAGTTTTCATTTTCTGGTCATTACCTGTGTAAGAGAGATTTTTTTTTCTACCTTAATAGAGTATCTTGATTTGGTAAATTGCCCACTATTCAGAGACAGTGGATTTATACAGAAGCAGAGAATATTTTCTTTGTTGTTATCACTACTCAGGATTCTCTCCAAGAAAAGTGTGCTCCCTGCAGTCTCTGGTTATTTCTTTAGTTCATCAGAATAAGACTGTAAGTAAAGCATAGAAAGAACATACTGTCAGTAAAGCATAGAAATAAATCAGATCAATGTTTGTGAAGTTTAATTTATTATAGACTATTCAATCAGGTCACAAATTAATTCGGGGGTGTAATTTTCTTCAGAGTCCTGGAAACCATTTAGATCTTTCCATATGAAGCATCTGTACTTCATCACCTTTACATTAGGAAATTGGCAGTATTTTATAGCATTATATTAAATATTTAATAAAAATTTTGTATTGATAATTTAGAATAATCTATTTTTATTTTCTTATATATCAATATCTGATTATCTGGGAAATTCAATGAACCTTTTACATTCACAAAGCAACATTTGTATGTTTGGCCTACTGTAATACATTTTAATAACTGACTATTTTGCATTAAGATGTGGAAATTATTCTTAAAGGGGTTTTATTTGTTAATAGGTCCTAAGTGAAGCCACATAGCAAAGCCAATCAAAAAGATTGAGTACATCAATCTGAGTTTATTGCAGTTCTACACTGAATTTGAACAGGGGACAAAAGCCTTTCTGTTCTATAATCATCCTCTGAGTCAATTGATTATCCCAATACTATCAATACTTCTTCTAATACTGAATAAATTCGTGGGAAGATACAATCATAGCTAACTTAGGGATGGTGCAAGGAAAATTATTTTATTAGATGGAGGTGTAAGCAGTGTGTTGTGGCAGAAGGAAGAATAGAAGACAGAAAATATCCAATTTCCTCCAAAATTAGCTGGGCATGTTGGCATGCACCTCTAGTTCCAGCTACTCAGGAGGCTGAAGTGGGAGGATCGCTTAAGCCCTTAAGTTTGACACTGCAGTGAGCCACAATTGTACCACTGCATTCCAGCCTGGGCAGTAGAGTGAGACGCCATCTCTAAAAATAACTCTAGTCTTGGGTTGGCTGAACCTGTTGCTGTCTGTGTGACATGCAACTCACTTAACTTCTCTTGATCATAGCTTCCTTGCCTGTAAAATGAAGAGAAATATTCACTGTTACTACCTTAAATATTTATCACAAGCATTAAAAAGTTTTTCAAATTTATAATACTCTGTAGACAACACATTATAATTAGAATTTCACAATCTGGGATAAAGAGATTGCCACTAAAAATTATTATAGAAACAGAAAATACTTGCTTCCCAATGAACATACATTATATGTAACTGGTGAAATAAGTAAAAACAAACTAGAAAAATACATCTATCACCTTGTATTATATGTAGATATGCAGTCTTTATTATTTAATAAGGTTTGCACTATCAGTAAGATATAGTCTGGTAAAGGACTTAAGGCAGGACTGTAAGAACAACAAAATTAAGGTTATTACAGAAAATAATATAAGATATAATGTGATAAAACCAATACAACAAATTGTTTTTATAGCTATTATAAAAGCTGTTATTGTTTTATAACTGTTATAGCTGTCTTACTTTGAAGAAGCATTGAAAAAAAACTCAGTGTTCCTGCTGGCAGTAATGTACCCCACCCCGCCACTGTCAGGACATGTCCATGCACAGGCACTGCCACAGAGCCACAACTGGTGCAAGTGCATGCTTGCATTCCCCACCACCCTGACACCACCTATGCATGCTTATGGACTCTGTTGCTCCACTACTGCTGGCACATGTGCACGAGCATGGACCCTGCTGTCACCACCTGATGAGGTGCTTTTGCTGGTAACTCCCCATCAAAATGTTGTTGCCAGTGTACCAGGAACACCTTGCCCCTTTAGAGCAGAAGGTGTTTAACCTTGAGGGACCAGAGAACAAATTCATGGGCCTGGTACTAGCCCCGCGAGGTTATAGCATGTAGCCCAGGAATGCTGAGCTGATCTTTGGTCCCCTGAAACCAGCCAGAAATGAAAGCAGTTGACTGAATCAAAGTTATACTACAGTCAAATCTTCAAAGGCATAAAAGAATATAAAAGCAAAAAATCCCATCCAAAAAACAGCAACATTAAAGATTAAATGAATATCAGCCCACACAGGAGAAAGAACCAGCACATGAACTCTGGCAGTTCTATAAGCCAGAATATCTTGCCTCCAAGCAACCACACTAACTCTCCAGCCATGATTTTTAACCAGGCTGAAATGGCAGAAATGACATATAGAATTCAGAATCTGGATAGTGACAAAGATAATCAGAATTCAGGTGAAAGTTGAAACCCAATCCAAAGAATCTTAGGAATCTAATAAAATGTTACAAGAGCTGCAAGACATTTTAAGAAAGAAACAAACTGATCTGATAGAGCTGAAAAATAAACTACAGGAATTTCACAATACAATCAGAAGTATTAGCAACAGAATACACCAAGCCGAGGAAAGGATCTCAGGGCTTGAAGACTGGTTCTTTGAACCACCTCAATCAAATAAAAATAAAGAAAAAAGAATAAAATGGAATGAAGAAAGTCTCCAAGAAATATAGGATTATATAAAGGGACCAATCATATGAACATTGGCATCCCTGAAAGTGAGGGAGAGAACACAAGCAAATTGGAAACATATTTGAAGATATTGTCCATGAAAAATTTCCCAAACTTGCGAGAGGTCAACATTCAAATTCAGGAAATTCAGAGAACCCATGTGAAATACTATACAAGAGGATCATCCCCAAGACATATAGTCATCAGATTCTCCAAGGTCAACAGGAAAGAAAAAACATTAAAGACAGCTAGAGAGAAGGGGCAGGTTGCCTACAAAGTGAACTCTATCAGGCTAACAGTGAACCTTTCAGCAGAGACGCTATAATCCAGAAGAGACTGGGGTCATATATTGAGCATTGTGGAAGAAAAGGAATTCCAAACAAGAATTTCATATCTGGCCAAGCTAAGCTTTATAAGTGAAAGGTGAAATAAGTTCCTTTTCAGACAAGTAAATGCTAAAATAATTTGTTACCACCAGACCTGTCTTACCAGAGGTCCTTAAGTGAGTGCTAAACATGGAAATGAGACAGTTACCAGCCACCACGAAAACACACTTAAGTATATTGCCAAAACATACTTTGACCATTGACAATACAAAGCAATTATACGATCAAGTCTGAATAACAACCAGATAACAGTGTGATAGGATGAAGTCCACACATATCAATATTAACCTTGAATGTAAACAGGCTAAACACCCTACTTAAAAGGCTTAGAGTGGTAAGTTGGATAAAGAGGCAAGACCCAACTATTTGCTGTCTTTAAGAGACCCCTTTCACATGCAATGACATGGATAGGCTCAAAGAAAAGGGATAGAGAAAAATCTACCAAGTAAATGAAAAACAAAATAAAAGCATGGGTTGCTTTTTAATTTCAGACAAAACAAATTTTAAACCAATGAAGATGAAAAAGACAAAGACAGGCATTATATAATGGTAAGGTTCAATTCAACAAGAAGACTTAACTATTCTATATTTATATGCATCTAACACTGGAGCAGCTAGATTCATAAAGCAAGTTCTGTGAAGTTCCTAACATCACATGTAGAGGAACTAGAAAAACAATTGTGTACCAACCCTAAAGCTAGCAAGAAAAGAAGTAACCAAAATCAGAACTGAACTGAATGAAATTGAGACATGAAAAACCACACAAAAGATCAATGAAACCAAAGTTGGTCCTTTTAAAGAATAAATAGATCAATAGACCACTAGCTAGACTACTGAAGAAGAAAAAAAGAGAAGACCCAAATAAAAATAATCAGAAATGACAAAGGAGATATTACCACCAACTCCACAGAAATTCAAAAAACACCCAGTGATTATTACAAATACCTTTATGCATACAAACTAGAAAACAATAGATAAATTCCAGGAAACATACAACTTCTCAAGATTGAACCAGGAAGAAATTGAATCTCTGAACAGACTTATAATTTATGAGTTCCAAAATTGAATCAATAATCTATGTTCATAGATATGAACATAGATTCATTAACATGAACATAGAGGGCCTCCTCCCTGACTCATTCTATGAGGCCAGCATCATTCTGATACAAAACCTGGCAGAGACACAACACAAAAAGAAAACTTTAGGCCAATATCCCTGATTAACGTAGATGGAAAAATCCTCAACAAAATACTAGCAAACTAAATCTAGCTGCACATCAAAAAGCAAATCCATCATGATCAAGTAGGCTTTATTCCCAGGATGCAAGGTTGGCTCAACCTATGCAAATCAATAAAGGTGATTCATCACATAGATAGAACTAGAAACAAAAACCACATGGTCATCTCAATAGATGCAGAAAAGGTTTTCAATAAAGTTCAATATCCCTTCATGATAAAACTCTCAACAAACTAGGCATTAAAAAAATACCTCAAAATAATAAGGGCCCTCTATTACAAACCCACAGCCAACATTATACTGAATGGGCAAAAGCTGCAAGCATTCTTCTTGAGAACTGCAACAAGACAAGTATATCCACTCTCACAGCTTCTGTTCAACATAGTACTGGAATTCCTAGCCAGAGCAATCAATCAGGCAAGAGAAAGAAATAAAAGGCACCCACATAGGAAGAGAGGATGTCAAAATAACTCTCTTCACAGACAGTATGATTTTATACCTAGAAAACCCCATAGTTTCTGCTCCAAAGCTCCTAGATCTGATAAATGACTTCATCAGTGTTTCAGGATACAAAATCAATACACAAAAATCAGCAGCATTTTTATACACTAACAACCTCCAAGCTGAGAGCCTTATCAAGAATACAATTCCATTTACAATAGCCATAAAGAAAGAAAAATATACCTAGGAATACGCAAATGAGGAAGGTTAAATATCTCTACAATGAGAATTACAAAGCACTGCTGAAAGTAATCAGAGATGACACACACAAATGGAGAAACACACCATCCTCATGGATAGGTAGAATCAATATTGTTAAAATGGCGTTACTCCCCAAAGCAGTGTATAGATTCAATGCTATTCCTATCAATCTACTAATACCATTTTTCATGGAATTAGAAAAAATTGTTCCAGAATTCATATGAAACCAAAAAAGAGCTCAAATAGCTGAAACAATCCTAAGTAAAAAGTGTAGAGCCTGAGGAATCACCATACCCAACTTCAGACTATACTACAAGGCTACAGTAACCAAAACAGCGTGGTACTTGTACAAAGACAGGCACACAGAATGATAGAACGTAATAGGGAATCCAGAAATCAGATTGCTTTATTGCACACCCATAACCATCTGATCTTTGACAAAGTCAACAACAAAAAAAGCAATGGGGAAAGAACTCCCTATTCAATAAATAGTGTTGGGATAACTGACTAGTTATATTCAGAAGGTTGAAACTGGACCCCTTCCTTACACCATACACAAAAATCAACACAAAATGGATTAAAAACTTATAGGTAAAACCTACAACTTAAAAAACCCTAGAAGAAAACCTAGGACATTCTATTCTGTACATAGCCCTTGGCAGAGTTTTCATGACAAAGCCTTCAAAAGCAATTTCAACAAACAAAAACTGATAAGTGGGGCCTAATTTAACTAAGGAGCTTTTGCAAATCAAAAGAAACTATTAACAGAGTAAACAGACAGCCCACAGAATGAGAGAAAATATTTGTATCTTATGCATGCAACAAATGTCTCATATCCAGAACCTATAAGGAAATTAAGCAAATGAACAAGAAAAAGAAACACCCTATTGAAAAATGGGCAAAGGACATGAACAGATACTTCTCTATAGAATACATACACTTGGCCAACAAGCATATGAAAAAATGTTCAATATCACTGTTCACTAGAGAAATGTAAATTAAAACCACAATGAGATATCATCTCATACTAGTCAGAATGGCTATTATTAAAAAGTTAAAAAATCACAGATGCTGGTGATGCTGTAGAGAAAATGGAACACTTATACACTGCCGGTATGAATATAAATTAGCTCAGCCACTGTGAAAAGCACTTTGGAGATTTCTTGAAGACCTTAAAACATATCTACCACTTGGCACAGCAATCCTATTACTGGGTATATACCCAAAGGAATATAAATTATTCTACCATTAAGACACATACACATCTATGTTCATCACAGCACTATTCACAATAGCAAAGACCTGGAATCAATCTATATGCCCACCAATAGTGGATTACATAAAGAAAATATGATACATATACACCATGGATTACTACACAACCATAATAAAGAATGAGATCATGTCCTTTTCAGCAACTTGGATGGAGCTGGAGGTTATCATCCTAAGCAAATTAATGCAGGAACAGAAAGCAAATACTACATGTTCTCACTTATAAGTGGAAGCTAAACATCAAATACATATGGACACAAAGAAGGAAACAACAGACACCTGGGCCTACCTGATGGTGGAGGGAGGGAGGAGGGTGAGGAATAAAAAATTACCTATCAGGTAGTATGCTTATTACCTGCGTGATGAAATAATCTGTACACCAAACCCCTGCATTCCACAATTTACCCATGTAACAAACTTGCACATGTACTTCGTGAACCTAAAATAAAAGTTGGAAAGAAAAGAAAAACTCACTGTGAATACTGTGCCATCTATTCTTCCCATCCTTGGCCAAGGAATTAACGTAATTGGGAAGATTTGAGATTATCAAAGGTAAACCATTAAAATGTTGTCAATGTGGTCATTTTATATGCACTGGCAGGGTATATTTGAGAACTGAGAGTCTATTATTTTGGTATAATAGGAATTTCAATATGTGCCTATTACAGGTATTTCTAGTTCAGAGTATTGCTTCATTCTTGGCCAATAAATCAATATTGTTATATGGATACACAAAAAATCAACTGGAGTTATAAAAACAATTGTTAATAATACTGCATATTTTATGCCACTTTGTACTATTTTAAAGTGATTTTACATATTTTCATATTTTCTTCATTTGAAGTCATTACACATTTTGGAAATGTTTTCTGAGTGCTATACATTCTTATTATAAACAGTGTTTAAAGGTAACTACAAAGTTCTAAGAGTGGGGAAATTAGGATATATCATTTCAAATAACATTCATTTGGTTTTTAAGTTAATGTTGCTGATAAGACTCTGCAATATAATAATTCAATGAATCCACAGTAATTTAACACCAGATAAAGAATTTATAATATTGTTCTTTCTGGGTTGTTACATCTGCTTTTAAAGGTAAGTGGAGCATTAACAACTGAGGCTACAGCATTGATTATAACATTGTTATTGTAAAAATCTCACTGCTGTTGTCTTAATTCTAAGATAAAATAAAGTTCAGCCTACCTTTCAATCAGGTGATTAACTTTCTGGAGCTGCAATTGAGGTTTCCAGTTTCAAAAAGGTAGGTGTGCCTGTAGGTATCCTGACCCCTAACTTTTATAGATGCTGTAGGCATCAGATACTTACTTGCATTGTCTTTCCAGTAGTACAATTTGTCCACACCTTCCCTGAGCATAAAAATGTTATTAAAAGTATGTAAAGCATAGTTGTCCGTTAAAAATAGAGATACATTAAATGAGGCTTGGAGATGGTCTAAGAAATCTCCATGGTTTCATGGCGATATCAAAGTTGTAAAAGCAGCAAATTTCTTCTAAGTTTCATTAAATGAAGAAATACTTTAGTCTGTTTGGAATCTTCTCTGTTATTTCATTGACAATCGTTTTAAATTTTTATTTCCATAGGTTTTTGGGGAACAGGTGGTATTTGGTTACATGAGTAAGTTCTTTAATGGTGATTTCTGAGATTTTGGTGCACCCATCACCCAAGCAGTATACACTGAACCCAGTTTGTAGTATTTTATCCCTCACCACTCTCTCACCCTTTCCCCCGAGTCCCCAAAGTCCATTGTATCATTCTTATGCCTTTGCATCTTCATAGGTTAGCTTCCAATTATGAGTGAGAACATACGATGTTTGGTTTTCCATTCCTGAGTTACTTCCGTTAGAATAATAGTCTCCAGTTCCATGCAGGTTGCTGCAAATGCCATTAATTTGTTACTATTTATGACTGAGTAGTGTTCCATCGTATATATGTATACCACATTGTCTTTATCCACTCGTTGATTGATGGGCATTTGGGCTGGTTCCATATTTTTGCAGTTGCGAATTGTGCTGCTATAAACATGCGTGTACAAGTATCTTTTTCGTATAATGACTTATTTTCCTCTGGATGGGTACCCAGTAGTGGAATTGCTGGGTCAAATGGTAGTTCTACTTTTAGTTCTTTAAGGAATCTTCGCACTGTTCTCCATAATGATTTTACTAGTTTACATTCCCATCAGCAGCATAGAAGTGTTTCCTTTTCACTGCGTCCATGCCAATATCTATTTATTATTTATTTTTTTATTGTGGCCACTCTTGCAGGAGTAAGGTGGTATCACATTGTGGTTTTGATTTGCATTTCCCTGATAATTAGTGACGTTGACCATTTTTTTCACATGTTTGTTGGCCATTTGTATATCTTCTTTTGAGAACTGTCTATGCATACCCTTAGCCCTCTTTTTGATGTGATTGATTTTTTTTTCTTGCTAATTTGTTTGAGTTCCTTGTAAATTCTGGATATTAGTCCTTTGCTGGACGTATAGATTGTGAAGATTTTCTCCCACTCTCTGAGTTGTCTGTTTATTCTGCTGACTGCTTCTTTTGCTATGCAGAAGCTCCTTAGTCTAATTAAGTCCCATATATTTATCTTTGTTTTTGTTGCATTTGCTTTTGAGTTCTTGACCATGAAGTCTTTGCCTGAGACAGTGTCTAAAATGGTTTTTCTGATTTTATCTTCTATAATTTTTATAGGCTTAGGTCTTAAATTTAAGTTCTTGATCGATCTTGAGTTGGTTTTTGTGTAAGTTGAGAGATGAGGATGCAATTTCATTCTCCTACATGTGGCTTGCCAATTATCCCAGCAACATTTGTTGAATAGGGTGTCCTTTCCCCACTTTATGTTTTTGTTTGCTCTGTCGAAGATCAGTTGGCTGTAAGTATTTGGGTTTATTTCTGGCTTCTCTATTTTGTTCCATTAGTCTATGTGTCTATTTTTCTACCAGTACTATGCTGTTTCGGTGAATATGGCCTTATAGTATAGTTTGAAGTCAGATAATGTGATGCCTCCAGCTTTGTTCTTTTTGCTTAGTCTTGGTTTGGCTATGTGAGCTCTTTTTTGTTTCTGTATGAATTTTAGGATTGTTTTCTCTAGTTCTTTTATTACTTCTATTCAACATAGTATTGGAAGTCCTAGTCAGAGCAATCAGACAAGAGAAAGAAATAAAGGGCATCCAAATCGGGAAAGAGAAAGTGCAACTGTCACTGTTTGCAGATGATATGATTATATGCATAGAAAACTTTAAAGACTCCTCCAAAAGGCCCCTAGAACTGATAAATAAATTCAGCAAAGTTTCAGGATACAAAATTAATGTAAGCAAATCAGTAGTTCTGCTATACACCAACAGTGACCAAGCTGAGAATCAGATCAATAACTCAACCCCTTTTACAATAGCTGCAAAAAAATAAATTAAAAAAAAACTACATAGGAATATACCTAACCAAGGAGGGGAAAGCCCTCTACAAGGAAAACTACAAAACAGTGCTGAAAGAAATCATAGACGACACAAACAAATGGAAACACATTCAATGCTCATGGGTGGGTAGAATCAACATTGTGAAAATGACCATACTGTCAAAAGCAATCTACAAATTCAATGCATTTCCCGTTGACAATCTTATCACCTCTTAAAAGCTGCTTCCCAAATTCCCTTCTATTATTTTGCTATTGCTCAAGTTATCAATACGTATTGCCTTTTTGCATGTTGATGTGCAAATTTAACAATTTTTGAAAACCTTCAACAAGACTAGTGAGATTCAGATTTGCCATCTAAATAGCTCCAGCATACAAAGTTCTAAACCATTTTTGACAGAAGGCCTAAATAATGATTTTTATGTCTTCAGGTCAGAAATTCTAGGGGAGCTTGGTATAACGTGTGACTCCCAGAAGAATGTGTTATTTGTGTCTGAAAAATTATTTTTGCCTTACCCTGTGTTTGCAGTCATCATTGGTTTAAGAACCAGATGGATTTTGAAAACCAGGAAACTCTGGGATGTAAGAGAAGAATAAGGAAAGGCAACATCTATAAGACCCTATAAGTTACCCAGACATCTGGTTGGATTCTTTATGCTTACTGTATCAGGGCAATGATGCCAGAAAGGAAGTGACACAGATATTTGCAAATTATATTATTTGTAATTTTTGACACATTGGTTGATAAGCTTCTAATATTTATAGAAAAATCTATTAAATCTTCATAAATATTTTTGTAAGATGTATTGGGTTTCTAAAAGTTTTCTATGGATATTATCAATCAGTGAATATTAAGTTAAAAAGAATCAGCTCCAGAAACAATCCTTGGGTATAATGGGAACATCAAACTTCTTGTTAGATGATCAGCTTTAATCAAAATATATTCTTTGCATGTGGCATTTACATTTTAGATCATAGGGAAATTGGAGTTCTGACAATTGGCTAACAATTTCTAATATGTTTTGTTTAGATAAATTTGACCATGTATTAAAGATCATCCTACAGAGATGTAACAGTGTCACTTTAATATTCTTATGCCTACTTCATAGTAAGGCAAATAAAATCTTCAGAATTGTTGCTGGCTGCCTAAACATGGGTTACTGTTTATTAATATTTTCTTTTTCTTGTTTGTTACCTTTCTAGAAACTTGAGATTTTCATGTGATGCTCTCTTTCTCTTTTTTTGTATGCCCTTAAGTATTTTGTGTAAAGCAATTAAAACAGTAATTTCAGTAACTAGTTTATGTCATGTACCAAATTCAAAAATGACAGCTAAGAATGAAATTTAGCTCTAGCAAGGAGGCTTTAATTAAAGGATCCTTGCATCTATTTCAGTGACTTCCTGTTAGTAATTCAACCATCTCCTGGTTCACTATTTCTGCAGTGCTCTGAAAATGAAGCTTGTCTACTTATTTTTTTTTTGTGTGTTTCGTAAGAATTGAAGAAGCACTCATAAGAAAGGGAAAGGGAAAGAGGGAAAGCAAATGGACCTAGGATATCATGCCAAGTGTGTGGGGTGTTATTCAAATAAATAAATATATATATATATATATATATATATAGAGAGAGAGAGAGAGAGAGAGAGAGAGAGAAGGTTTATAAAACAAAAATTGCAGAAAGTACATTTTTACTATTTGTTTAAAGAAGAACCCATAAAAGAAGTTTTCTGAGATAAAGTTGAAAAATGCACATAGAGGCAGGTGGTGCCATTAGCCCTGCTGTTGGGACTGACAGATCAGTACTGAAGTGGCATCAGGGTAGGAAGGTATCAGCTTCAGTAATGGAGAGATGTCCAAAGGAAAGATTGCTCTATCACAGTGATGGGATCCTAGCATGTTATAAATCGAAGATTGTTCTTTCCTGCCACTGAGATGAGCAGCTCTTTCTCCTTTCGAGAATGAAATGTTGGACACAGACAAGGAAAAGATGAAAACAAAAAAGTAGGAAAAAGTTTTTTCTCTTTAATGTAAATCTCCCGGGAGAACAGACAGTGTAGTGCCAATCTCCATTTTAAACAGGAGGCGAAGAAAATGCTCACTTTTGGCAATTTCTTCTCATCTTAGCATACAGAATAGGTAAATTATGGTAATAGTTCTATATGTCTCTTGATATAACTTGGTTCTTATTGTTTTTTAAATTGGAACTATTAATAGATTTACACTTTTGGTTTGGAATGAAAGATATATTGAGCTGGGATGAGATTCGGTTAGAAGAAGGTGCAGTGTGTAGTAAAACCTGTACAACCCAGCTTTTGATTTCTGGCCAACTTGCTCTTACATATAACTAACTAGGCGATATTAGGCAAGATACTTTCCCTCTTTGAGTGTAGGTCTCCTGATCAGTGAACTGGGAGATGACATGTAAATAGAACCTAGCACACGACCGTGTTTGTAGTAAGTAGTTGAAAAATGTTATTCTCTTTTCCTTCCCAGCAGTCTAAGTTAACCTACGTGGCCAATATTTGTCTTTTTCTGGAAATAAGTAAATGGGAACAAAATAACTTTTTGATGATTATTTTAAAAATATTTTATTGCATTAAGATGATATTAGTGAAGTTCTATATAAATCATGAAGTTTGCAAAACTGATTGCATTTTAATAAACAAAATTAAAGGAAACACACATAATTAACACAAAAAATTTCCAACAAAATATATAAATTATAACATGGGCAGGGTTACAACTTTGTTATCATTTTAGCCACAGGTTGATTGAAGAACCTGCCCAAACCCCCACATGAAGATTATTGACAAAGGTGGAAATGAGCACCACATTTTTCTTTCTTTCCATCTAGCACTCCAGCTTTAGGCTCATAAAATGTGTCACTGGGCAAACTAAGCATAGGGATTTTTATTTTTTTAAAAAAAGAATATAACAAAAAACAAAACTAGTGGGAAAAAAGCACATCATGTGAAGTGAGGTACCTCTTTTAGGGAAACATATAGAACATCAGTGAAGATACTAATTGATCTATATATTAATTAATCAACATACTAATCAGAAATAAAATACCAAATTATAACTTCTTGAAGAGCAGCATGGTATTTCTCTACATACTCTATTTTGACCAAAATAGCAAAGCATGACTTTCTTCTGAAGAGAGACATGCCACTGATGTCCAAGATGAGAATTATAATAAAAGAAAAATATTCTCACAAAATAATGCATTGAATTAAGGAAGCAGTTCTCAAACTACAGTCTTGGGTACTCCCAGAGGCCTCTAAGATGCTTTCAATGGTTCCATAGGTCCCTCCTTTTTCAAGTACACATGCGCGTGAGACTAAATTTTCTCCCTGTACTTTAACCAAAACAACATACTGCATCTGACTGAACGTAGAAGAGAATTCAGTTGTCTTTTGAATTTACAAAAAATGTAAAACAGTGCCATTCTTGTCACTGAATATTGTTTTTGCTTGTTTGTTTTTAAAAATAGTTACCTTGTCTTAAAATGTATTATTTATGTTAATAGATAATGGTTTTATTATTGTATTTTTAATGAATTGATAAATAAGATGGAAAACAGTCCTAAGACCAAAACCTTTGAGAACTGCCTATTTAAGGTATGAGAATTTTTGTGTTTAGAGATTAGATCTCCACCTCATTTTGTGTGTGTGTATATTCTTCTTATAAAAGTAAAATATAAGTTAGAAAACATTTGGGAATTTGTGTAAAGTCAAATATTAATCCCCTATATTCACATAATCCAAAGGTATTGCATTACCTTTCTTCATTTCCTCTATGCACACATCTACATATTTATTTAAACAAAATTAGGATCATAAGCTTTACACATTTCTGCATCTTTTTTTCACTTAACATTGTATGATGAATACTTTTGTGATTTTTCAATAATCTTCAGAAATATGCTATTTAATGACTGTGTAATGATCCTTTATATAAAATCCTTAAGCACTGTGTTGGTGGGCGTATTGATTGTATTTTTAGGTGTTGTTAGTATCATCTTAATCATCATCACTTTTGTCATCGTATTTAACATTTATTAGGCTCTTATTATGCTCTAGGCAATGTGCTAAACTCTTTATGTGCCTTATTGCATGTAACCTACTTTTGGGGTGTCTTGATATTTCCTCTAAGAAATGGTCTTCCTCTTTCTTCCACTTACATCCCTTCAATTATTTCTGTCATTGGATCTAGCTGACAGATCATATGGAAAAGGGAGTGAGATATATTGAACCAATTTCTTTTTTTTTTTGGAGACAGGTGTGATCTTGGTTCACTGCAGCCTCCAGCTCCTGGGCTCAAGCCATCCTCCTGCCTCAGCCTCCTGAGTAGTTAGGGCCACAGGCCCATGCCACCATGCTCGTTTAATTTTTTGTGCTTTTGTAGAGATGGGGTTTTACTATATTTCCCAGGCTGGTCTCCAACTCCTGGGGTCAAGAGATCCTCCCACCTAGGCTTGCTAAAGTGCTAGGATTACAGGCGTGAGCCACCACACCTGGCCTACAACTCTTGCTCTTAATATATAAGAAGCAAAGGAAAAAAAATGCCTGATTATTGCAGTCTAATTAATTCTAATGACAATAACTATATAAAAATATTGTCATTATGGTTTTATTTTTTCTGCTTTTGTTTGATATGGTCAGCTAAGATGCTTTCTCTTTCTTTTCTATTCAGGATTCTTGGGATGGTGGAATTTGCTCTAGTTAGTTTGGTTAGAATCACCACAGATATGGATACAGATCGGATAGGGTCTAGATAGCCTTAAACTCAGACAAATTCTGCCTCACAGATATGCAATATACTAATTCCAGTCTGCTCCTTTAAGAACACATGTCATTGGTTATTAGGACAATCAGGCAAGAGAATGTGGATAGCTCACTATAAACCATCCATAGGGATGGTTGAGTACTAATGACATTTTGGCATATTGGAAAAAAAATATTTTTCAGAATAAAGAATCGAGTATTGATTTCCTCACCATCATACAATTCTTTTTAAATTTTTTAAATCAGAAAGTTGTTCATTTTTTAAGCTTGGCTTTGCAGGTTAGGTTTTTTGAAAGTATTCAGGCACATTCTAAACTTCCCAGATGTGAGGAAATTGAAAGCACACAATGTTTACTGACATGTAAAACTCTGGGACACAGTTTTCATTAGTTAAATTTAAAATCTTTTCTTTTCTTTTTTACCCTTTGTAAATGTGACCAGTGAGGCAGATTAAATTAGCTAGGGAAGTCAGAGGCTAAGGGTCATTTTGCCTCTCATCTGCACGTGCAATATCAACTGAAATAAGTGATTATTTTTCATTACAATCAAGATTATTATCTATTGTATTTTCATACCATTTCCTATAGTGAAATTATGCGTTATGCTTTTTAAATCTGGTATCTTAATAGAAACTCACGTTAGAAATATAGAAGCTAGCCGTGAGACTGTGTTCTTAAAACTAATGATCTAGATTCATGAAAGGATAGGAATACTTAGTTTAATACATTTTCCAGTATATATATTTATTTGCCATCTTTAACTTCAAAGTTGTGTTCTTTGAACAACTTGTTCTTTAGGAATGAAATAATCTTTCAGAAGGTACCCATGTTAGTGGTGACAAGACCCATTAAATATTTAAATAGTGTTATTAGGTACATCATAAAAATACATGTAGAAATTGTCTATTTTAAAATATTTAGCCATATGTCAAATATAAAATGTTACTAATGTGCTGAGTTGAGGAGACTTTGGTTAACTTTTGAGTAGGTTTATTGTCATGTAACCTTTTGGGATTCTTTCCTTTTCTTTAAGGAGACAAATGGATGATTGTAACATGAACATTTAAAAATGAAATGCTTAATGGAAACATGAATAAATGGAAACAGATTTGCCTGTCAAAAATTAAATAGCAATATTCTTTGATTAATATCAAAATCTAATCTAAAATAGTTTTAGCCATTTCATGCAGGTGACATCTGTGCTTAAATATAATTTTCTCTCCCTGTTCTGGCATGACTGTTAATTACTTACTCAATGTAGTTCAACATTTAGTTAATAAATATGTCAAGCTTTTTCCTTAGTGTTCTTTTTGCAGAGTTGTGAATTTGCAATTAGTTTTAGATTTACAACATGGTGACAGACAGTGCTGTATAAATAGAGGTTAAACACACAATTTACATATTAATTCCATGATTCGTTTATTCAATGATTTATGGGGATATAGATTGCATTTAATGTCTGTCCTGTAGTTGTTTCAGGCATGACAAAAGGAATCACTATAGTAGCAGAGAAGTAATGGTGTCTATATTGAACTACAGGGTGTTGAGGGGAAAATAAGAAAGATTTGGAAACACAATGATTCATTACCTTTAATACTCTCCAAGTGGCAAGTGAAAAGTAATAATTGATTTTTAAAAGGATTACATCTGATAATTCTAAGAGTAGGGGAGGAGATAAATTAACCCGCTAGCATAGTGTCTTGCACATAGTAGGAACTAAAATGTTTGTTCAATTGAAGTGACTTGAAGTTGAGGATCATAATATGTTTTTAAGACTGGATAAAACTTAAGTTAAACTTTGAGAAGCTTTAAACAAATCTTTTTTAGCTGACTTCTATTAATTGGCCTTGTTTCCTCATGACAGGTGCCGTCATATTTTAAAAATCCTCTTATCCATTATCTATGTAGATTTATTAGATATTCTTGGCCATATTGATGCAATGCCAAACATAGACTGCAATAAGGAGATTTTCTTACTGCTTATTTTTTTTTAGAAATATCAGTATCTCTGAATGATTAAAATAGGCTATGTTATGTAATGAAACGAAAACCTCTCAAGTTTGTAGTGGACATAGGTCTGCTTTCAAGATATTTCAAAAAAATCTATTCAAGATAGGTAAATGCTGTCTATACTCTTTTTTTGCAATATCAAACATATGATTAATTAACTTATGGATTTAATCCATAAGTTTAAACCGGATAAAACTTACTAGATACAGTAATATTCCTGAAGCAACTTGTGGTCCTCAAACTGACTTCATGTTGCCCCTTTAAATGTCAACAGCAGTTATTGTGGAGAATACTTAACTTAGTGCTGGGAGATTGACCTTATTTTCTTCTTGAGAAGATCATGCCCTACAATTCTGATACTCTCAAGAACCTCCTCTATGTAAAGATACAAATGTAAAACCCACTAATTCTCAGCAAGGACTGTGGATTACTTTCACAGGTCACTGAGCTGGGTTCTCCGAATAGGTAAAGTACTTTGGGGACATCTTTGTATTACCTATGTACTTTTTCAAGCCACTAGAGTTAGCAATTACTGCAAGAAGCAGAATTTTTTAACTTAAATTCTAGTGGCTGGAAATCATACCAAAAACCCAGGAACTGTAAGTTTAATTTAATAAATCTGTTCAATATGCGTTTGTTTAATCCCTACTTAATTCCAAGTCCTTTTACATACTTGCCAAGTCCTTTTACAAAATCCAAAGATCTCATTTAATCCTTATATACCCCTCAATAGGGCATGATTAAATCCATTTTTGCAGATGCAAAATCTGAGCCTCTGGGAGGATACATGGCTTGCTCTGGAGACAATTTTGTAAGGATTGGAACTCAGATGGGTCTGGCTCCAAGGAGTTACCTTTTCTTTCACATCATGGTGTCTCCTATTAAGGGATGGAGTTAATGTGTTTGCAGAGGCACCTAAAGTATCCCAAAAAGTAAAATTGGAAGGTCTAATCCAGGATGTTCCATCTTAAGCCTTGGCAACATTTGTTCAACTCTTACTTAACGTTGCCCAGTCTAAATGATGCTTCCAGTAATTTTAGCAATTTTAATTAAGTAGACAGAGTTGATTACTTCAATTGCCTGCATTGCCTTTTGTCAGTGATTCAAATCCAGCTATTTCACATGTTCAGAGCTCCCAAGTGCTTCAGAAAAGTTCTAGGAGCTAAAGAGTTAAATGACTGGTGAATAAATCTTCACAATTTTCACACTTCTTTACTCAGTGGTGTCTCAGCATTTTTCTTGAATGGAGCAGTTTCTTATAATTTTACTAGAAAGATTAAAACACGTTTGCAGTGAAGGTAGTATGCAAATACATGACATGCGTTGGATCCCTGAGGTAATCTAATGATATAATGCAGGGAGATTTAGTGAAAAATAAAGTCATAGCACCAAAACAATTGGTAGTAAAGCAAACAGAAAATTTCAAAGCCAGTTCTTTGGTTCTTCTTCACCTGATGGCTCTTATCCTTTTTCTCTTTATCTTTTCCTTCTTGACTCCATTTTCTACTGCCTTGTGGCTTTCCAAAGAGTGAGGCAGGGATAAAGGCTTGATTTTATGTGGAGACATCTTCTAACCATTTAAAATTCACAGCAAAAAATGTAATGGACTTAAAACTGCCAAAAATGATTGACTGGGAGTGGAAAATGAAGAGGAATTTCTAGGAAGAAAAATGCTTAGTGGAGTACATTTCATTCTGGGGCCCATACTTGAAATTATAACCATCCCCACTTGCTGAGCACCTAATAGGAACTTTCCAAGTTGAGCAAATAGAGGTCAATAAAATAAGCTCCTTCCCATTAATAAAAGTTAGCTTATTATAGCCTTCTGCACTGTAAGCTGTCTTTTCAGCCAATGATTAATACCACCTAGAGCTTGCATATGGAGGGAAATTGAAGTAGGGTGAGTGAAGTGATTATTTTCAACAGTAGATTACCTAGAAAAAGACAATTTAATGAATGAACAGGTAGGTTCATTTCTGGCCAAATTTCAAATGTGGTGTCAAAAATAAACACTTGAGGCCAGGCACAGTGGCTCATACCAGTAATCCCAGCACTTTGGGATGCTGAGGTGAGAGGATTGCTTGAGGCCAGGAGTTCAAAACAGGCCTGTTCAACATGGCAAGATCCCATCTCTATAAAAGAAAAAAAAAAACACACACTAGCTGGGCCCGGTGGCATGCCTCTGTAGTTCCAGCTCCTCGGGAGGCTGAGGCAGAGTATTGCTTGATCCCAGGAATCTGAGGCTTCCATGAGCCATGATCCTGCCACTGCACTCCAGCCTGGGCAATAGAGGGAGACCCTGTCTCAAAACAAAACAAAACAAACAAACAAAAAAATAAACACTTGAAAGCTAAGGACAGGAGAGGGTGCTGAAACTTACATATTCTTCTCCCATATAGATCCACAAAACTGAATCAATTGCATTTCCATTTATTTAAATAATTTGCATATATCAGCAGTGTATTCTTATCTTGGTTTGTAGATGAGTTTCTCTTTTCTTGCTGGACATAGAGTTAAATCTCACTTTTAAATCCCTTGAAATTGAAATGTGATGAGCAGATGACTATAGGGAGCAGGTGTCAAACAATATTTAAATGACATTTTCAACAAAATAAATATTTGAACCACCCTGTCACATTGGTGATAGAATAATCTGCTCCAAAAAAAAAAATGCCATTCATTGTATACCGCCTCTGACATTTGTTCTTCAGGAATTACTTACAGTTTATCTTCTGAGCTGGAGCCTTTTATCAGCAAAGCAGTTGAACTACAGTGGAAAAAATGGTAATTGAGTATTTTATCAAATGCTTCTAACAAAATGGACTTTGCAACATGTACATGAAAATTAAAACCATTGGTTGCAGGGATGAACAAATTGGAATGATTTATTATCAGAAATATCAATATGTCACTGTTCAGAAATAGAAAGAAACAAACAATCTCAGTCTCCCTCCACATTAAAACAACCCCCATCCCATTCCCAGACATATGCACCCAAAGCACTCTTAGTTGCAGCCAAAGCAGTGGAAGGTAAGTACATTTTAATTCTTTGTGCTAGCAAAACCGCTAAAGAAAAAGGAGAAAAAAGCATCATAATAATAGACCAGCTGCTGCAGGACATTATGTAAGGAAAAGAGACAGTAATAAAAGAACCATGTCAAAAGAAAGCAGCTATGAATGTATACTTCAGTGCTGGTGATTGCAGAAGGAGGATTAAATATAATATATGGGGCAATTTAGGAAAGTGAATTTACTGCTTATGTTTATCACCTAAGTAGCCAATGCCTTTAAAATGGGCTTTATTTAACTTATGTAACATAGCTTTAAAAAACGGCATTAGAAGAATAGCATTGCAGGAGTATTTTATACTAATTATTTAAATTTTGCATTTATTTAGATTTATTTAGATTAAATGCACCATATGTGTGAGTTCAGGTTGGAGACATCAAGTAGATTAACAACAAGTAGATTAACAACATGGGTGGGAGTGGATGTGTTTTTTCTTGAATTTAATTGAATTTTAATGCAATTATTGTTTTTTCTTGAATTTAATTGAATAAATTGAATATTAAGGTTTTTCTTTTTAAAGAAAAAGGTCAGAAATAAAATGTGTAAAAGAGAAACCCTTTTTGTGACAGTTCAAGCTGCTTTTAAAAATGGTGTCTTGACTTTGGGGATGTCACTGAATAAGAATGTTTAGCTTCCTTCCAGGCTGCCAGCAGGATGCCATTGTCTGTGCTGTTCTTCTCTGTGTGAATCTAAGAGTTTACTTCTCTCACCCATGATCACCCATGACTATTCACTAAGTACAAATCAAATGGGCTTACATCAGGTAGAAACCCAGACTGGGACCTTTTTTAAGGCATGCAGAAAACAATTAGGTATACCTCTTTAAGACTGGATAAAGAGAACTTTATTTTCTTCCCTCATTTCCCTAAAACTTCCATCTCCTTTAGATCTTTTGGATATAAAATTCAAGAGGCAATTGATTGTTAGTTACATGCCAAGCTTAGTATAATTTTATAAAGCAGTCATAGGTAGTTGAATAATATTTTTAAAAACCTAAGGAATCTTCTTCTACATTGCTTTTTAGCTACATGAAAAGAAAATGATTTTCTGTATATAATTTATGTATAGTGTATGCTTAAAATATTTCTCTGAATTAGTTATTGCAAGCAACTTGCAAAACTGGATTCATCTAGAGGGTTGAGCAAAACTAGCAAATTTGTAGGAAAAAAAGGTAAAATCAAATTACTAACTTGCACTTGGGAGAGAACATTCTGAATTAATGAAAAGTTTGACAGGATATTTTTTAAAGTTATAATTTTTCATGTACATTTAGTAGCTTGAATTGCTCTTTTCTGGCGGCTGTCAGAGACTATTTTAATGAACACATATTTGCATACACTTATTGTGCGAAAGTTTTTAAGTAGCCTTTTCTCTCAGCTAAGCCAGCTCAATTACCAGTTTATTTACATGTTTAATAATTTTTGCAAACTCATTTTTATTAGATAGTATAAAGATATTCAAAATTTGTATCTGTGAAACTGTAGGGTTGTATCCTTTATACTAAAAGCCTGATATCTTTACTAGTTCTGCCCAATCCAGGTTAAATGGGTAGTTCAATCTCATGACCTTTTAAAAACCTAAAGATGTTACGAAACTGTTGTCTTACAATTGAACCAACACTGTTACTTACTACATGTGTCTGTTTGTGTGAAAAGGCAAAATCTTTCCCAATACTTCTATTTTTGTATTATAAATAGTATTATTGAAAGAGAGGCCTGGTCGTGTTATGAAAGAACTGATGGGCTTAGGCTCCTTTTTCACAGCTCATGGCACTATGCTATATAGACTTGCCCCTCACTGTGAAGGCCAATCAATTGATTTCTTTTAGATTCAAGAAAAATAATTCCCAAGTTCTCAGGTCTCTGTGGGAAACATCCTTTATCATTTTTGCTGAAGTACAAACCTAGGGGTAGGAGAACCAGAGGACTGTAATTAACATCTCCAGTCCTAAAGATGCATGGGTAGTTGGGAGGGGTTCGTAATCTCCGTGGCCATTAGATTCAAAGCCATCTTAAAAGGTCTAACCATAAGCTCAGCATTGAAATATACAGAAAATCAGTGCATACTATGAAGAGTGGATATGGCAGTTCCTTGTACTTCTATGGTTTAATAGAAGCTGTTCTTTTTATAAATGAATACATATCGTTGATATTATTGCGGGACAGATGAGTGGCAAAACAAGATTCTCCCAGTCTTCCTAGAGTGTAAGTGATCTTCTCTTAAGGAAACATATTTATTTACTTCCAATAGTACACATTATATTATATTCCTAAAAGACCAATGTCACCCTTTGTATTCTAAAAGGCTTGTTACCACTTTTTTTTCCCCTTTCAGTGCTGACCAATTCTTACAGAGCACAGGTAAAGGGTGAAAGTTTTAAAAAACAGAAAACATTATTTATTTTTATTCTTTAGTGATTAGCTTTTCTTTTTCATTTCTCCTCGAATCATAGTCCCAGAAACTTTATATTTTAGTTTTTCAGGAAGTACTATTTGAATAAAGGAAATCTGGTGGGCATACATTATCTTTGAATAAACATTTTGAATATTTGCACATACTATAAAATCAGAGAATACTAATTGTGCCTCTCTATTTCTTCTTGCATCTTGTGAAAGAGTTGGTGCCTGTTAAAGCATATTCCACAGATTCTGAGATCACAGGAAAAAAGAGATATATTTTATTGTCTTAAGGTGAAACTTTTGTGGAGGAGAGATTTCTTCAAAAAGGGAGGCAAGGGTGGTGATTAGAATGGACACGTGCCTGGGAGATGGCAGAGCTATCTATAAAATACACATAAATAACATCACATCTGTTTATGTGTATTATGTAGACAGTATTATTAGTTATAGGTATGATCATGTTATTTATGTGTGTAATGTAGATAATACGTATGTGCATGTGTGTATGTGTGTGTGTATGTGTATATATGATTTGTGTCTTTAGGAGTAGGTGAAAAGGCTACTTTTTTACTCTGCATGTAAAACTGAAGGGATTTCAACCAACAAAATGAACTTGTTCATAACTAGAACTTGAATTTAGAGAAAAAACAGTGGTTTTCAACCTTTATCATGCCTCAGAATCCCCTCAAGGGTTTGTTAAAACACAGATTGCTGGGCCCCACCCCCTAAGTTTCTGATTTGCTAGGTGTGGGATAGGACTGAGACTTTGGATTTCTAACAAGTTCCCAGGTGATGTCCATGCTGCTTGTCCAGAGACCACACAGAGAAACACTGTTTTAGAATCAATCTATTATATTTCACTTTCATATTCAATTTACCTGAACTGTGCTGGAAACACGGGTGTCATACAACCGTAGTCAACAAAATGATTTAAAACAATAAGTCCCTGAGCTTTAGTTTCCTTATCTGTAGAATGAAGAAATTAGACTTGCATAATTTTGAAGGCCACTGCAAAACTGACGTTCTAAAAACATTATAAGATAGTGGCAACTGATACTGTCAAAGTATATAGTTTTGTCTATTCCGTGTCTTCATGCAAAGTTTCATGCAACATATTGCATGCAAATTTGTAGCTTGATTTGGAGGCAGCATAATCTAATAGTTAATAGTGTGGGTTCTTGAACCAGACTGCCCGGTTTTGAGTATTACCTTTGCAATTGACTATGATTGTGACTTTGGGCATGTTACTTAACTTCTCTGGACCTCAGTTTTCTTAACATGTTATATGGTCCCTTCCTTGTGGAGTTATGAAAAATAAGTTGTACTACACATTAGAAGTGTATAAAACATGTTACTGCTCCATAGCAGTGCCATGTAACTATCAGTTACTATTTGTTAATTATGTACATTTATCTTTTTTAAATGTTTTTATAGAATATTGAACTGTTGTCTTTGATAGTTAATATATATTATGGATAAAAAATAATTCAGATGGTCTGAAATCATCATACTGATGCATGTCAGAATACTTTTGAAATTATATTTTCTCAATGTTTGAAGCCAGATTTAAATCAATTTAATCAAATTATTTGATTATCTTTAAATTGACAAATGATCATGAGTTTACACCAATGACTAGCTATGCTGTTGATTTGTAATAGTTGAAATGAATATGTCATCATTACTGTGGATGAAGTCTTCTGTGTACAGATGTACACGTATGCAATTATCTGAATATTTAATATCCAAATGTTAAGAAATATTCCTTAAGTGCTAGAAAATAGAGATCAGTGAGCATAACCTTATTTATTGGAAGCTCCTATATTGAGACAAATGTTCATATAGAAATCTGTGAATATAACAATCTATATAAATATGAATAAGCATTTGAGGATGGTCTTGATTATTTAAATATATATTTTGTGTTTATGGAATTTTATGTTTGGGAGATTTTACACACAAAATCTGAAAATTCAAAATCTGGAAATTTCAAAAGCTATTGATTTGTCCTGAACTTTTTCATTCATGTTATCTTTAGTTTCTTGAAAATCAGTACTTAGTATAAACACTAATGATTTAAATGTCTCTCAAAGATGGATTTGTAGGTCTTTGCATGGGCCAGCAGGCTGTGTGTCTTTGGTCAGTTCATTTAATCTTTTAGAGCCCTCAGTTCCCTCATTTGTAAAACGATGTGGTCAGCATCAATGGTTTTAAGTTCCCTCTTAGCCATAATATTCTATGATTCTTATACTATTAATACTGTAGGAAAGTAATCACAGTAATGTGACAAATAGAAATTATTCATGCTTCATTGTCTGCATGTTTTAAAATCATTCCTGGCTTAGGCTTAGTGTCCCCCCACCCCATTTGCTGATATTAAATGTTATAGTTCCATTCTATAGACCTAAATCTCACTATACATTGGCTGCATGGGTAATATAGATAAAAGAACTTCTCCTTACATAAATGGCATAAACATCAGTCTGCCTAGCTAAATTCTGACATCAAAAAATTCTGACACCAAAAATTCTGACACTATGTGCTAATTGTTTTATGTCTATGTGTTTGTAATTGGGAGAACAGCAGTAGATGAGAAAAATTGTCAGGAAAGAAAAAAGATCACTAGAAAACCTAAGCAAAAAATTTCTTTCAAGAAGTTTAGTGATTTCAACTTTGCGTGTGAAAAGAGCTGGGTTAAATTCATTTTATTATGTGCCAAAGGGCCATAATATAACAGGCTTCCTTCATTGTTTAATTCATATAATGAAAAAATAAGAGACTCAAATTCCTTGTGTTCTTTGAGAAAAAGTAATCATAGTAAATAATAGTTAACGTTCATTGAGTGCTTACTATGTGCCAGGAACTCTTCTAACTGCTTTGTACATATTAACTCATTTAAGCCTCACAACAAATTTTGAGCTAGGCACTACCATCATCTCCATTTTTCAGATGAAGCACAAAAAAGCAAAGCAATTTAACCAATGCCACATGGGAAATCAAAAGTGAATCTTTTCAAAAATTTTTTTCATTCATTTAAAACATTTATTTTATTTTATTTTATTTTATTTTATTTTATTTTATTTTATTTTATTTTATTTTATTTGAGATGGAGTCTTGCTCTCTCACCTAGGCTGGAGTGCAGTGGTGAGATCTCAGCTCACGGCAATCCCTGCCTCCAGGGTGCAAGCGATTCTCGTGCCTCACTCTCCCGAGTAGCTGGGATTACAGGAGGCACCACCACGCCCAGCTAATTTTTGTATTTTTAGTAGAGACAGGGTTTCGCCATGTTGGCCAGGCTGGTCTCAAACTCCTGACCTCAAGCGATCTGCTTGCCTAGACCTCCCAAAGTGGTGGGATTACAAGTGTGACTCACCGAGCCTGGACAATTTATTTTAATTTTTGTGGTTACATAGTAGGTGTATATATTTATGGGGTACATGAGATGTTTTGATACAGGCATGCGATCTATAATAATCACATCTTATAAAATGGAGTATCCATCCCCTCAAGAATTTATCCTTTGTGTTACAGTCCAGTTACCCTCTTTCAGTTATTTTAAAATGTACAATTAAGTTACTATTGACTATAGTCACCCTGTTGTGCTATCAAATACTAGATGTTATTCATTCTTTCTAACTATTTTTTTGTACCTATGAAACATCCCTATCTACCCCTCCCCACCCCCCAACTACCCTTCTCAGCCTCTGGTAACCAGCATACTCTCTATGTTCATGAGATCAATTGTTTTGATTTTTAAATCCCACAACTAAGTTAGAACATGTGATGTTTGCAATGTTTATCTTTCTGTGCCTGGCTTATTTCATTTAGCATAGTGACCTCCAGTATTATCCCGTGTTGTTGCAAATGACAGAATCTCTTTATTTTTTTGTGGCTGGATAGAACTCCTTTGTGTATATGTACCACATTTTCGAACTTTCTAAGAACCTGTTGATGACAACTTTGAGGACTTACTCTATAAATGTTGCTGAAAGCGCTTTGGCCTACTAACATATTTGGCTTGAGCTTTTAACAGCTAAATTCTACACACCACATAAAGGGACAGTCCACTGGCACATATTTTAGTGACTCAGACAGAAGTATAACAATTTTTAAAAGTGCAAGATCTGATAATACAGGTAATCAAATTTCACACTTAACAGAATATGCTGTTCTTTAAGGGCAGGGAGGAAATTTTCTGAAGAAGAGATATACAGAACTCAACAATTGACTAGGTACATTATTTACCAAAGGCAGGACTGAAATTTAGAAGTATACTACAATGAAACAAATATTACATAGAAATGACATGTTAGAACCTATTTTTGGTCTCTAATGAGGTTCTTTGAGATTTGTCATTTTGTGTTAAAAAGTACTCTGAGGCTTTTAGGGCTTTGCTGTTTGGTTTTATATATTCACTATTATTGTCAACAAGGATAACATTTTTCAGCTAATAAGATGAGTGGTTCAAAGTATAAGGCTTTCAGAAAAGTGAATATAAAACAATTCTTCACCCACTCCTCAAAGCAGGAAACAAACTAAGATAAGATTCATGTTTTAATTATATATATATATATTATATATATATATATATTTTTTTTTTTTCCTAAAGAGTTTACCACCTTTTACATGTATTTTGTCATTCAGATGATTCTTCCACTGGGTTGGCTTGGCTTGGGGGTGGGGATACATGCAGATTGTAGAAATCCACATTTCCAAATGGATGTGTTTTGGTCAGAGTAAAGTTGAGTGACCTGCCGAGCTTTGAAGATGGATATCAGAACCTAGTTCTTCTGATTCCCAATCAAATACTCTGTTCTTTAGACTTTGACACAAAATATGGCTTTGAATGCTAATGCCTTTGTTTCTACACTGATATTGAATATAGAAAAGAGACAACACATAGATTGCTTTTTGAGACTATAGCAGGGGACTTCTGAGAATGGAACAAGTGGAAGGGAAAATAAGACAATGGCCATCAAGTACATTTCTCCACATACACACTTGTGAATAGCTCACTCTCTACAAAAGACCTACGAGTCAAGTGTAGTATTTCAGCACCTCTAGAAGTCACTTGGATTAAAAGATATGGTTAGATAGAGGTGGGATTCGTTTCATGCCAGAATTTTTAAAAGCTTTATGAGGTTAATTCCTCAATAGTCATTGATTTCGATGCTTCAAAGCCACAAGCAGGTTATCAAAACCTTCCACCCTTTATATTTTCTACATATTTTAGAAAATTCTCTTTTAACTTATTTATAATTGCTCTTGCCAAATACATTGTTATATTTGGATAATGGAAAGACAGGGTGTAGACTTAACTGCATGTAAAATATTGTGTCTCCATCTGGTTTCATAGTATACAGATTGCATCTGTGTTTCACTTTATTATGTGAGTGAATGCAGATATTCTTTTCTGGCTACTTGTGGGTCCCCAATAGAGGGAGAAATCACTTCTTTTTAAAAGAAATAAAAATAAATTAATATTTAGATAAACATCTGTAATATCTTTCATTTGAATCAATCAGTTAATTAACTGTATCTTCGTTGTCGACTATGTGGCCACCCTATAATAGATATTGGGAAATTTCTAAGAAATATAAGACATTTTGGCACTTACAGAACTCATAGTCTTTTGTAAGAATGAAGATGTACAAAAAATTAGAGTACACAGCAACCCTATAACAAATAAGTGCCAAATAATGTATTATAGAGAACAAGTGCTACAGGAAGTCAGAGAAGAGATTGATAAAAGAGAGGACCATCAAGGCTCTTCAAGAATTAGCTTGTTTGACTCTCTGACAATGTTAGTGCTGTTGTTTCAGCCTTATAGGGCAGTCCCTAAGTGTTCCCTGCTTAAATTTCTATTTGTAATATTTCAAGGCAAATTCAAATTCCATCTTTTCCATGAATCCACATAGTTAATTTGATTTTTCCTTTTCTGTACACAGAATATTATAATGCAATATTTCTATAATATATTTGCCTTTAGTTTCTGTCACAGTACTTTGCTCATAGCAGAATTTCAATGAATGCTATATTCAATGGAACTATTAAAGATTAGAAATGTAAAGAATCTGAGACGTGAAAGATGAGTAGGAATTGGTTGAGCAGGGAGAAGTAAGGAACATAGCCATGGGGGTGCAAATGAATTTGGTGACGGTAGAAGCAGTAAGAACACTATGTTCCAAAATGTACATTTTGATTTGGGTGTAATAAAATCATTTTTAAATTTTCCATTCTACTCCCAGAACCAAGACATTTTAATGCAAGAGCTAAAATATGTTACCTTAAATTTTATCATGCCCTTGTTAAAATAGTTTTATAAAAAGGATCAGTGTATTTCCAACTTTCCTTCCTCAAATAATGCCTACTACACTAAATGTACTTTTTGATTTGTACAAATTTGTGGGGTACAAGTGCAATTTTGTTATATGCATAGATTGTGTAGTGGTGAAGTGAGGGCATTTAGGGTATCCATCACCTTAATAATGTACACTGTACCCATTAAGTAATTTCTCATCCCTCACTCCCTGCCCAGCTCCCCATGCTTCTCAGTCTCCAGTGTTTATTATTCCACACTTTGTGACCATGTTTACACATTATTTAGCTCTCACTTATGTGAGAACATGTGGTATTTGACTTTCTGTTTTTGAGTTGTTTCACTTAAGATAATGGCCTCCAGTTCCATCCATGTTGCTGCGAAACATATGATTTCATTCTTTTTAATGGCTGAATAGTATTCCTTTGAGAGTGTGTGTGTGTGTGTGTGTGTGTGTGTATATCACATTTTCTTTAATTACTTGTTGATGGATGCTTAGGTTTATTTCATACCTTTGCTATTGTGAATAGTGCTGTAAATATACTATTTTAACAGAGGGAATTTTGAGAAAAATTAGAACAATGTCAAGATGACAAAATTTAACTTGGATTCAGAGAGAACTAAAGGGTAGCAGTGCCTCACACTCCCTGCAAGTAGCTAGAGTTTACAGGTAAGACAACAGCAGCAACAGCAGCAGCAACAACAATGAGAAAAATAGCTTTGTATAAAAACCAGCCATGAAGAAAACATCTTCGTGTGAGCATTACTAAGATAATTTTAGATTGGAGTAGATTGGACACCTGATGAAAGGAATAGAGAGATCTCTAGTTCTTTCCGATGCAAAGTAAAAATTTCAAAACTAGTAACATTGAGGAGGGACTAAGTTTACATTGCTATTGATTTGAATTGTATGGATGAGTTTAGAAGTCAGCTCAAGTGAGGTGTTCTATGTCAGAGAAAACAAGTCCCTATAAAGGTTTACTTGATGATTCCATATAATAAGATTAGTTGAAAATTGTTTTTTAATGAAGAAAATCTTTCTGTAGCATTTTAAATACTATCAGATCTCTCAATGCGATAACGTAGCTTTTAATCAACATACCAGCAAATCAGTGGCTTTCTTGGTTTATGTTGTATCTGTTGACTGCATTGTAGTTATGTTTTTGGGAGGAAGGAGATCTAGAGATTTTTAATGCTAATAGGCCCACCAAAGAGATTTCCCTTCTTCCCAAGTTGTTTCCTTCCTTTGTAAGAAAGATGACAACCAAATGGGAGACATGCAAATGACCCCATGCCACTCAATAGACAAACCAATTATATGATAATAGTTTTATAAATGCATTCATGTTTCTATTTCCATTCATAGACCTTTTTGTAGTTCCCCAGTTTTCTATATGTACATTTCAGAAGAACAAAATTGTAAAAATAAAACATTATGTATTTTTTTACCATGAATAATTAGATATTTGTTCCCAGAAGTCCTTATTTAACGTTCAATTAGCTCTATACATCAATTTCCTATTTGTTTATTTTAAAATGAGCCTTTTTCCTATGAAATCTCACACTGTATTTGAATAGGATGTCCAGCCAGTTTTCTTAGGATTTGCATGACTTGCTGGTTGTTAATTATACTTTAATTGAATCTTTCTAACCTCTGTTTAGCACACTTGCATTGTTACATATTTAGTAATGCCTTACTTAGTCTTCTGAAAGAGTACATATATCCCACTGGTTCCTAACAAGAATGCGGACTATGACTATTTGGTGTGAAAAAAGTTTCCTTTCAAGCAAATATTCCATCAGACAAAATGAAAAATTATTAAAAAGAGTTTCAGCATACACCATCTACATTTTTTCCAGATATACAAAAGTGTGTTTTGGTATAAATGTAGTCAATATGGGATATGATGATTTTTGAGAGATCTATAGTATTATGGTTTTGTGGGGAATAAAAATCATTCACCTGAAAACAAGCCAGGCTCTTGATACTAGTAACTTTTCAGAAAATAAAAAATACTTTGCTTTTCCAAATTTTATCATTCTGGTCTAGTGGGATTACACCCCAATTCACATTTAAGAGCAAACCAGTGGATCACAGAAATAATATGCTTGTTCCTTTAGAATTTATTTGAACGTTCAGAGTATTTCTTTTGATCTTTACAGAATGTGCATTTTAGATGTAGATATCCTATTTAGGTATTTTTATATTTTTCCTTTAGGAAACATTATTTGCATGCATTCTGTGCTAGAAGTTTCAAGGTCAGCATTTCTTGCACAGTTGTAATAGTCCCAACAGAAAGATAAATATATATTGACTGAGGCTGGAGTTCTAGTTCTTTCAGTTGCTGAAGGTCAACAGCCCCTTAGAGATAACTCTCCAACCTTCAAATATCTGTAGGTTAAATTACTGGTAAATCACTGCACCTTTCTAAATGGAGGAAACCGACATTGTACTGGGAAGCAGAACTATGTATTGTGTGTTTTGACTGTTGTAATTTTGAACAAGATAGGAAGCAATTTCAATCCAGGCATGGTTCCAAAACTTTATGGAAATGATTGCAAAACTGACCACTCAGGCTGAATATTACTAGGCAAAAAGATTTAGGGGCATCATTTCTTTGGCAGATTTAAGTTGTAACATTGTCATAGGATTTATTTAGAATGAGCTAATAACATTAAATCCTTTTTTTTTTTTTCTTTTTTTTTTGAGACGGAGTCTTTCTGTTTTTTTTTTTTTTTTTTTTTGAGACGGATCTCGCTCTGTCGCCCAGGCTGGAGAGCAGTGGCGTGATCTCGGCTCACTGCAAGCTCCGCCTCCCGGGTTCACGCCATTCTCCCGCCTCAGCCTCTCGAGTAGCTGGGACTACAGGTGCCTGCCACCACGCCCGGTTAATTTTGTTTTTGTATTTTTAGTAGAGACGGGGTTTCACCGTGTTAGCCAGGATGGTCTCGATCTGCTGACCTCGTGATCTGCCCACCTCGGCCTCCCAAAGTGCTGAGATTACAGGCATGAGCCACCGCGCCCTGCCAACATTAAATTCTAAAGCATGTTAACATTTAAATTATTTAGGTACTGAAGGCATGTTTGATACAGTTGGGAGTGTTGGAGGAAGAATTACTAAAAACAGTAAATGACAACAAAAAAGATCACGATAAAGTCATCTTCAATGAATACAAAAGGATTTGAAGCTTGAGGAAATCGTCATATGGCCCAGAGTATTGAAAGCAGCACAGCAAAACATAGTGAAAGTAAATGAGACACTTGACTTTTGCACATTTCTACTGGCATATTTTAGAGAATATGATCCCTGCAAGCCAGGGTTGAGAGAACTAAATGAACTAAATAGGCAGAATGAAGGAGAATGTATTGCAACAGCTGCTTAATTTTTTTCTCCTGTTTTACATATAACGAAGCAATATACTACAAGGGGTTTATGCCACAAACTTTATTATATAACTTAAAACTTCTTTTTAATTCAGTAAAATTTACATTACAGAAAGTTAATTCCATAACTATGTTCAGATATTTTTCTTTCAAAAATGAATTCATGTACAGGGAATTACATTTTAATTATTGTTTGATACTAATTTAGAATCATTTAAATTGAAATTTTGTTTTTTTAACCTTTAAAGTTTTTCATTTTAATTTTTGTGGGTACATAGTAGGTGTATATATTTATGAGGTACATTAGATGTTTTGATCCAAGCATACAATGTGAAATAAGCACATCAAGGAGAATGAGGTGTCCATCCCCTCAAGCACTTAATATTTCAGTTACAAACAATTGAATCACTCTCTTTAAGTTATTTAAATAAGTACAGTTAATTTATTATTGACTCTAGCCACCCTGTTGTGCTATCAAATAGAAGGTCTTATTCATTCTTTCTATATTTTCTGTACCCATTAACTGTCCCCACCTCCCCCTTACTCTCCCACTACTCTTCCTGGCATCTGGAAACCATCCTTCTACTCTCTGTATTCATGAGTTCAATTGTTTTTATTTTTAGATCCCACAAATAAGTGAGAACATGTGATGTTTGTCTTTCTGTGCCTGGCTTATTTCACTTAACATAATGATCTCCAGTTTTACCCATGTTGTTGCAAATGACAGGATCTCTCATTCGTTTTTATTGCTGAATACTATTCCATTATGTATATGTACCACATTTTCTTTATTCATTCATCTCTTGATAGACACTTAGGTTGATTCCGAAAATTAGCTATTGTAAACAGTGCTGCAACAAACACAGGAGTGCATGTATCTCTTCGATATACTGAATTTCCTTTCTTTTGGGTATATACCCAGCAGTGAGATTGCTGGATCATATGATATCTTAAACTGTTCTCCACAGTGGTTGTACTAATTTACATTCCCACCAACAGTGTACAAGGGTTCCTTTTCCTCCACATCCTCGCCAGCCTTTGTTATTGCCTGTCTTTTGGATATAAGCCATTTGAACTAGGGTGAGATGATAGATCATTGTAGTTTTGATTTGCATTTGTCTAATGATCAGTGATGCTGATCACCTTTTCATGTACCTGTTTGCCACTTGGATGTCTTCTTTTGAGAAATGGCTATTCAAATACTTTGCCCATTTTTGATCAGATTATTAAAATTTTTCTATAGAGTTGTTTGAGCTCCTTATATATTCTTCTTATTAATTCCTTGTTAGATGGGTGGTTTACAAATATTTTCTCTCATTCTGTGAGTAGTGTTTTCATTTTGTTGATTGTATTCTTTGCTGTGTGGAAGCTTTTTAACTGGCTGTGATCCCATTTGTTCATTTTTGCTTTGGTTGCCTGTGCTTGTGGGGTACTGCTCAAGAAGTTTTTGCCCAGACCAATGTCCTGGAGATTTTCCCCAATGTTTTCTTGTAGTATTTTCATATTTTGAGGACTTAGATTTATCTTTAATCATTTCGATTTCATTTTTGTATATGGCAAGAGATAGAGATCTGGTTTCATTCTTCTGCATGTGGAATTCCAATTTTCCCAGCACTCTTTACTGAAGAGACTGCCTTTTCTCCAGCGTATGTTGTTGGTACCTTTATCAAAGATGAGTTAATTATAGGTGTGTGGATTTGTTTCTGGCTTCTCTATTCTGTTTCATTGGCCTATGTGTCTGTTTTTATGCCAGTACCATGCTGTTTTGGTTCCTATAGCTTTGTAGTATAAAATTTGTAGTTGGGTAATGAGATTCCTTCAGTTTTGTTCTTTTTGCTTAGAATAGGTTGGGCTGTTCTGGGTCTTTTGTAGTTCCAAATAAACTTTAGGATTTTTTTTCTATTTCTGTGAAGAATGTCATCAGTATTTTGATAGGGATAGCACTGATTCTGTAGATTGCTTTGGGTAGTATGGATATTTTAACAATATTGATTCTTCTAATTTATATCCATGGAATGTCTTCATTTTTTGATGTCTTCTTTAATTTCTTTTATCAGTCTTTTATAGTTTTTATTATAGAGATTTTTTACTTTTTTGATTAATTTCTAGGTATTTAATTTTATTTGTGGCTATTGTAAACAGATGACTTTTTTGATTTCTTTTTCAGATTGTTCACTGTTGGCATATACTCAGTTGGTGCAAACGTAATTATGGTTTTTGCATTGTTGGAATTTGCCATTTGATATTGGAATACATTCTTAAATAAATGTGGTTATGTTATACATCATTTTAATGGGCATTTCTTGCTTTATTTTTTTTGCTAATGACTTATTACTTGCTGTTTATTTTAAGTTTATTTTAGACTATGGAAATGATGTTAGACAAAAAACAAATTCAAGCGATTTTCTTATTCCAGTTAAAAATGGGTTGTAAGGCAGCAGAGACAACTCGCAACATCAACAACGCATTTGGCCTAGGAACTGCTAACAAACATACAGTGCAGTGGTGGTTCAAGAAGTTTTGCAAAGGAGACGAGTCTTGAAGATGAGGAGCATAGTGGCCAGCCATTGGAAGTTGACAACAACCAATTGAGAGCAATCATTGAAGCCAGTCCTTTTACAACTACACAAGAAGCTGTGGAAGAACTCAACGTCCACCATTCTATAGTCGTTTGGCATTTGAAGCAAATTGGAAAGGTGAAACAGCCAATAAGTGGGTGCCTCATGAACTGAGCAAAAATAAAAAAAAATTGTCATTTTGAAATGTTGTCTTCTCCTATTCTATGCAACAACAATGGACCATTTCTCAATCGGATTGTGATGTGCGACGAAAAGTGGATTTTAGACAACAACTGGAGACAGCCAGCTCAGTGGTTAGACCGAGAAGATGCTCCAAAGCACTTCCCAAAGCCAAACTTGCACCCAAAAAAGGTCATATGGTTACTCTTTGGTGGTCTGCTGCCAGTCTGATTCACTACAGCTTTCTGAATACTGGTGAAACCATTATATCTGAGAAGTATGCTCAGCAAATCGATGAGATGAACTGAAAACTTCAATGCCTGCAGCCATCATTAGTCAACAGAAAGGGCCCAACTCTTCTCCATGACAACTCCCGAGTACACATCGCATAACCAATGCTTCAAAAGTTGGACCAATTGGGCTACGAAGTTTTGCCTCATCTGCCATGTTTATCTGACCTCTCACCAACTGACTACCACTTCTTCAAGCATCTTGACCACTTTTTGCGGGGCAAATGCATCCACAACCAGCAGGATGCAGAAAGTGCTTTCCAAGAATTTGTTGAATCCTGAAGCATGGATTCTTATGCTACAGGAAAAAACAAACTTCTCATTGGCAAAAATGTGTTGATTGTAATGGTTCCTATTTTGATTAATAAAGATGTGTTTGAGCCTAGCTAAAATGATTTAAAAATTCACTGTGCAAAACCACAATTACTTTCATACCAATCTAATAGAAATGCTACTGACTTTTGGAGTTTCTTTTATACCCCAGTGACACCTGGAATGTCAGCGAGACAGAACTGTTCATTCCCCTGGAAAAGGGGATGAAGCCAGGGAGCCAAGTGGTCTAACTCAGTGGATCCCACCCCCATGGAGCCCAGCAAGCTAAGATCCACTGGCTTGAAATTCTCGCTGCCAGCACAGCAGTCTGAAATCGACCTGGGATGCTCGAATTTGGTGGGGAGAGGGGCGTCCGCAATTACTGAGTCTTGAGTAGGCAGTTTTCCCCTCACAGTGTAAACAAAGCCTCCAGAAAGTTTGAAGTGGGCGGAGCACACCACAGTTCAGCAAAGCTGCTATAGCCAGACTGCCTCTCTAGATTCCTCCTCTACGGGCAGGGCATCTTTAAAATAAAGGCATCAGCTCCAGTCAGGGGCTTATAGATAAAACTCCCATCTCCCTGGGACAGAGCACCTGGGGGAAGGGGTGGCTGTGGGTGCAGCTTCAGCAGACTTAAGCATTCCTGCCTGCTGGCTCTGAAGAGAGCAGCCGATGTCCCAGCACAGTGCTTGAACTCTACTAAAGGACAGACTGCCTCCTCAAGTAGGTCCCTGACCCCTGTGCCTCCTGACAGGGAGACACCTCCCAGCAGGGGGCACAGACACCTCATACAGGAGAGCTCTGGCTGGCATCTGGCAGGTGCCCCTCTGGGATGAAGCTTCCAGAGGAAGGAACAGGCAGAAATCTGCTGTTCTGCAGCCACCACTGGTAATACCCAGGCAAAGAGGGTCTGGAGAGGACCTCCAGCAGACCTGCAGCAGAGGGGCCTGACTGTTAGAAGGAAAACTAACAAACAGAAAGGAATAGCATTAACATCGACGCAAAGGACGTCCACACAGAAACCCCAACATCAAAGACCAAAGGTAGATAAATCCACAAAGATGAGGTACAAGCAGCACAAAAAGGCTGAAAATTCCAAAAACCAGAAAGCCTTTCTCCTACAAAGGATCACAACTCCTTCCCAGCAAGGGAACAAAACTGGACAGATAATGAGTTTTATGAACTGACAGAAGTAGGCTTCAGAAGATAGGTAATAACAAACTCCTCTGAGCTAAAGGAGCATGTTCTAACCCAATGCAAGGAAGCTAAGAACCTTGAAAAAGGTTAGACAAATTTCTAACTAGAATAAACAGTTTGGAGAAGAACATAAATGACCTGATGGAGCTGAAAAACACACCATGAGAACTTTGTGAAGCATACACAAGTATCAATAGCTGAATTGATCAAGCAGAAGAAAGGATATCAGAGATTGAAGATCAACTGGAAATATGGAAGTATTTGAAAAGACCAAACCTACGTTTTACTGGTGTACCTGAAAGTGATGGGGAAAATGGAAACAAGCTGGAAAACACTCTTCAGGATATTATCCAGGAGAACTTCCCCAATCTAGAAAGATAGGCCAACATTCAAGTTCAGGAAATAGAGAGAACACCACAAAGATACTCCTCGAGAAGAGCAACCCCAAGACACATAATTGTCAGATTCACCAAGGTTGAAGTGAAGGAAGAAATGTTAAGGGCAGCCAGAGAGAAAGGTCAGGTTACCCACAAAGGGAAGCCCATCAGACTAACAGTGGATCTCTCTGCAGAAACCCTGCAAGCCAGAAGAGAGTGGGTGCCAATATTCAACATTCTTTAAGAAAATAATTTTCAACCCAGAGTTTCATATCTACCCGAACTAAGCTTCATAAGCAAAGGAGAAATAAAATCCTTTCCAGACAAGCAAATGCTAAGAGATTTTATCACCACCAGACCTGCTTTACAAGAGCTCCTGAAGGAAGCACTAAACATGGAAAGGAGAAACTGGTACTAGTCACTGCAAAAACATACCAAATGGGAAAGACCATCGACACTATGAAGAAACTGCATCAACTAATGGGCAAAAACCAGGTAGCATCATAAGGACAGGATCAAATTCACACATTACAATATTAACTTTAAATGTAAATGGGCTAAATGCCCCAATTAAAAGACACAGACTGGCAAATTGGATAAAGAGTCATGACCCATTGTGGTGCTGTATTCAGGAAACCCATCAAACATGCGAAGACACACATACACTCAAAATAAAGGGATAGAGGAATATTTACCAAGCAAATGGAAAGCACAAATAGCAGCGTTTGCAATCCTAGTCTCTGATAAAACAGACTTTAAACCAACAAAGATCAAAAGAGACAAAGAAGGGCATTACATGATGGTAAAGGGATCAATGCAATAAGAAGAGCTAACTACCCTAAATATATATGCACCAAATACAGGAGCACCCAGATTCATAAAGCAAGTTCTTAGAGACCTAAAAAGAGATTTACACTCCCACACAATAATAATGGAAGACTTTAAAACCCCACTGTCAATATTAGACAGATCAATGAGACAAAATTAGCAAGGATATTCAGGCCTTGAACTCAGCTCTGGACCAAGAAAACCTAACAGATATCTACAGAACTCTCCACCCCAAATCAACAGAATATACATTCTTCTCAGCACCACATCACACTTATTCTAAAATTGAACACATACACAAACACACAAAATTTCAGGCCAATATCCCTGATGAACATCAGTGCGAAAATTCTCAATAAAATACTGGCAAACCAAATCCAGCAGCGCATTAAAAAGCTTATCCACCACGATCAAGTTGGCGTCATCCCTCGGATGCAAGGCTGGTTAAACATACACAAATTAATAAATGTAATCCATCACACGAACAGAACCAGTGACAAAAACCACATGATTATCTCAGTAGATGCAGAAAAGGCCTTCAATAAAATTCAACACCCCGTCATGCTAAACACTCTCAATCAACTAGGTATTGATGGAACATATCTCAAAATAATGAGAACTATTTATGACAAACCCACAGCCAGTATCGTACTGAATGGGCAAAAGCTGGAATCCTTCCCTTTGAAAACTGGCACAAGACAAGGATATCCTCTCTCACCACTTCTATTCAACATAATATTGGAAGATCCGGCCAGGGCAATCAGGCAAGAGAAAGAAATAAAGGGTATTCAAATAGGAAGAGAGGAAGTCAAATTGGCTCTGTTTGTAGATGACATGATTGTGTATTTAGAAAACCCCATCGTCTCAGCCCAAAATCTCTTTAAGCTGATAAGCAACTTCAGCAAAGTCTCAGGATACAAAATCAATGTGCAAAAAGCACAGGCATTCCTATACACCAATAATAGAGAAACAGAGAACCAAATCATGAGTGAACTCCCATTCACAGTTGCTACAAAGATCATAAAATTCCTGGGAATAAAATTTACTAGGGATGTGAAGGACCTCTTCAAAGAAAACTCCAACCACTTCTCAATAAAATAAGACAGGACACAAACAAATGGAAAAACATTCTATGCTCAGGTATAGGAAGAATGAATATCGTGAAAATAGCCTTACTGGCCAAAGTAATTTATAGATTCAATGCTATCCCCATCAAGCTACCATTGCCTTTCTTCAAAGAATTAGAAAAATTTACTTTAAATTTCGTATGGAACCAAAAAAAAGAGCTCATATAGCCAAGACAATCCTAAGCCAAAAGAACAAAGCTGGAGGCATCACGCTACCTGACTTCAAACTATACTACAAGGCTACAGTAACCAAAACAGCATGGTACTGGTACCAAAACAGATATGTAGATGAATGGAACAGAACACAGGCCTCAGAATTAATGCCACACATCTACAACCATCTGATCTTTGACAAACCTGACAAAAACAAGCAATGGGGAAAGGATTCTCTATTTAATAAATGGTGTTGGGAAAACTGGCTAGCCATATACAGAAAAAGGAAACTGGTCCCCTTCCTTACACCTTATATAAAAATTAACTTAAAATGGATTAAAGACCTAAAACCATAAAAACTCTAGAAGGAAACATAGGCTATACCATTCAGGACATAGGCATGGACAAAGACTTCATGATTAAAACACCAAAAGCCCTTAGAGTGAACAGGCAACCTACAGAATGGGAGAAAAATTTTTTCAGTCTATTCATATGACAAAGGGCTAATATCCAGAATCTGCAAAGAACTTAAACAAATTTACAAGAAACAAACAAACAACCCCATGAAAAATTGGGCAAATGCTATGAACAGACACTTCTTTTTTTTTTTTTTTTTTTTTGAGACGGAGTCTCGCTCTGTCGCCCAGGCTGGAGTGCAGTGGCGGGATCTCGGCTCACTGCAAGCTCCGCCTCCCGGGTTCACGCCATTCTCCTGCCTCAGCCTCCCAAGTAGCTGGGACTACAGGCGCCCGCCACTACGCCCGGCTAATTTTTTGTATTTTTTAGTAGAGACGGGGTTTCACCGCTTTAGCCGGGATGGTCTCGATCTCCTGACCTCGTGATCCGCCCGCCTCGGCCTCCCAAAGTGCTGGGATTACAGGCGTGAGCCACCGCGCCCGGCCCGACACTTCTTAAAAGAAGACATTTATGTAGCTAACAAACATATGAGGAAAAGCTCTTCATCACTGGTCATTAGAGAAATGCAAATCAAAACCACAATGAAATACCATCTCATGCCATTTAGAATAGCAATCATTAAAAAGTTCAGGAAACTACTGATGCTGGAGAGGATGTGGAGAAATAGGGACACTTTTACACTGTTGGTTGGAGTTTAAATTAATTCAACCATTGTGGAAGACAGTGTGGCAATTCCTCAAGGATCTAGAACTAGAAATACCATTGATCCAGCAATCCCATTACTGGGTATATACCCAGTGGATTATAAATCATTCCACATAAAGACAAATGCACATGTATGTTTATTGCAGCACTGTTCACAATAGCAAAGACTCAGAACCAACCCAAATGCCAATCTATAATAGAATGGATACAGAAAATGTGACACATATACACTATGGAATACTATGCAGCTGTAAAAAAGGATGAGTTAATGTCCTTTGCAGGGAGATGGATGAAGCTGGAAACTATCATTCTCAGCAAACTAACACAGGAACAGAAAACCAAACACCACGTTCTCACTCATAAATGGGGTTTGAACAATGAGAACACATGGACACAGGGAGGGGAACATCACACACTGGGGCCTGTTGGGGGTGGGGGGACTGGGTGGGGGATAGCATTAGGAGAAATACCTAATATAGATGGGTTGATGGGTGCAGCAAACCACCATGGCAGTTGTATACCTATGTAACAAACCTGCATGTTCTGCACATGTATCCCAGAACTTAAAGTATATACACACACACACACACACACACATACACACACACACACATATATATATATGAAATCCTGCTGACTTTTGTGCATTGATTTTGTGTCCCACAACTTTACTGAATTTATCAGTTTTAATTTTTTTTTGGTGTATTCTTTAGGTTTTTCCAAATATAATATTATACCCTCTGCAAACAAGGATAATTTGACTTCTTCCTTTCTAATTTGGATGCCCTTTATATCTTTCTCTTGTCTGATTGCTCTAGCTAAAACGTCCAGTACTACGTTAAATAACAGTGATGAAAGTGGGCATTCTTGTCATGTTCCAGATCTTAAAGGAAAGGCTTTCAGTTTTTCCCCAGTAAGTATGATACTAGCTTTTAGTCTGTCATATATGGCTTATATTATGTTCTTTCTATCCCCAGATTTTTAGGGTATTTATCATGAAGGGGTGTTGAATTTTATCAAATGCCTTTTCAGCATCAATTGAAATGATCATATGGTTGTTGTTCTTCATTCCGTTGATATGACTTATCACAATAATTGATTTGTTGATGTTGAACCATCCTAGTATCCCAAGGACAAATCCACTTGGTCATGATAAATGATCTTTTACGTTTATTGTTGAATTTTGTTTGCTAGTATTTTGTTGAGAATTTTCACAGCAATATTCATCAGAGTTACTGGCCTGTAGTTTTCTTTTCTTTCTTTCTTTTTTTTTTATTTGTCTTTGTCTGGTTTTGGAATCAGAGTAGTACTGGTTTCATAGAATGAGTTTGGAAGCATTCTTCCTCCCCTATTTTTCAGAATTGTTTGAGTAGGATTGGTATTAGTTCTTCTTTAAATGTTTTGTAGAATTCAACAGGAAGTTGTTGGGTTGCAGGCTTTTCTTTACTGGGAGACTGTTCAGCTTCGATCTCATTTCTTCCATCTTGTTACTTTGATCTCATTTCGGCTTCAATCTCATTACTTGTTATTGGTCTGCTCAGGTTTTGAACTTCTTCATGATTCAATCTTGGTGGGTTATATGTGTTTAGGAAGTTGTCCATTTCTTCTAGATTTTCCAATTTATTGGCATGTAGTTGATCACAGTAGCCACTAATGATTCTTTGAATTTCTCAGTATTAGTTGTAATGTCTCCTTTTATATTTATTTACTTATATGTATTTATTTGGATCTTCTCTCATTTATTTAATCTTTTTTATTTATTTGAATCTTCTTTCTTCTTTGATCAGCTAGTCTGGCTTATGGTTTGTCAATTTTAACTTTTAAAAATATCAGCCTTTTGTTTCATTCGTTTTTTGCATTATTTTTGTTTCAATTTCATTTATTTTTGTTCTCATGGTTATTTCTTTTTTGCTAGTGATTTTGGGTTTGGTTTGCTCTTGCTTTTGTAGTTCTTTAAGATATCTCATCAGATTGTTTATTTGAAGTTTTACTTCATTTTTGATGTATGCACTTATAGCTGTAAACTTTTCTCTTAGTACTGCTATTACTGTATTCCATCAATTTTTGTATGTTGTATTTTTGTTATTATTTGTTTTAAGAAAATTTTTCCATCTTAAATAATTGATTGACCCACTGGTGATTTAGAAGCATATGGTTTAATTTGTGTATTTATATAGTTTCCAAAATTCCTTTTGTTATTGTTTTGTTTCATTGTGTTCAGAGAAGATGCGTGGTATTATTTCAATTTTTGTGAATGTTTTAAGACTTGTTTTATGACCTAAGATATGGTCTTTTTTTTACAATGATCCACATGCTGAGTAGAGGAATGTGCATTCTGCAGCAGTAGGATGAAATGTTCTGTAAATATCTATTATGTTCATTCGGCCTATAAGTGCAGATTATGTCCATTCAATATTTCTTTGTTGATATTCTGTCTGAAAGATCTGTCCAATGCTGAAAGTGGGGTATTGAAGTCTCCAATTATTACTGTATTGGGGTCTCACCTCTCTTTAGCTTTAATAATATTTTCTTTATACATTTCGGTGCTCCAGTGTTGGGTGTATATATATTTAAATTGTATTTTCTTGCTGAATTGACTCCTTTATCATTACATAATGACCTTCTTTGTCTCATAGTTTTTTTTCTTGAAATCTAGTTTTTCTGATATAAATGTAGGTACTCATGCTCTTTTTTGTTTGCCTTGGATGGCATATCTTTTTCCTTTATTTTCAGTCTATATGTGTCTTTATAGGTGAAGTGTGTTTCTTGTAGGCAACAAATCAATGGTTCTTGTTCTTCCATCCATTCAGCCAGTCTGTTTTTTTTTTTTTTTTTTTTTTTTGAGACGGATCTCGCTCTGTCGCCCAGGCCGGACTGCGGACTGCAGTGGCGCAATCTCGGCTCACTGCAAGCTCCGCTTCCCGGGTTCACGCCATTCTCCTGCCTCAGCCTCCCGAGTAGCTGGGACTACAGGCGCCCGCCACCGCGCCCGGCTAATTTTTTGTATTTTTTTTAGTAGAGACGGGGTTTCACCTTGTTAGCCAGGTTGGTCTAGATCTCCTGACCTCATGATCCACCCGCCTCAGCCTCCCAAAGTGCTGGGATTACAGGAGCCAGTCTGTTTTGATTGGAGAGTTTAGTCTATTTACATTCATTGTTATTATTGTTAAGTAAGGACTTACTCCGGCCATTTTGTTGTTTGATTTTTGGTAGTTTGTGGTATTCTCCTCCTTCATTTTTTCCCTTCCTGTGTTCCTTTTAGAGAAGGTGGTTTCCTCTGGTGATACTGTTTAGTTTCTTGCTTTATATATATATTTTGGACCCCTTGTATTTTTTTGCTTTAAGGTTAACATGGGAATTGCAAATTTTATTTTATAAACCATTGTTTTAAGCTCATGACAACTTACACTGTTTGCGTAAACTTGCAAACAAACAAACAAGCAAAAAGGAAACAACAATAACTTTATGCCTTAGCTTCATTCTCCAACTTTTAAACTTTTAGTTGTTTCTATTTAAATCTTATTTTACTATGTCTGAAAATGTAGTTGTAGTTATTATTTTTTATTCATTCATTGTTTAGTGTTTCTATATAAAGTAAGAGCATTTACACACCACAGTTACTGTGTCGTAATATTCTGTGTTTTTTTCTGTAATTACTATTAATATTACCAGTGAGGATTGTACCTTCAGATGATTTCTTATTGCTCATTAATTTTTTGTTTCTCATTGAAAGACTTCATTTAGCATGTCACTTATAATAGGTCTAGGTCTGGTGTTGATGATATCCCTCAGCTTTTGTTTGTCTGGGAAAGTCTTTATTTCTCCTTCATGTTTCAAGGATATTTTTGCCAGATATGCTATTCTAGGGTAAATATATTTTTTTCCTTCAGCATTTTAAATATGTCCTGCCACTCTTTACTGGCCTGTGAGGTTTCCATTGAAAAGTCTGCTGCCAGATGTAATGGAGATCCATTGTATGTTATTTGTTTCTTTTCTTTTGCTGCTTTTACTATCTTTTCTTTATCTTAGGCCTTTGGGAGTTTGATTATGAAATGCTTTGAGTTAGTCTTCTTTGGGATAAATCTACTTGGTATTCTATAACCTTCCTGTACATCGATATTGATATCTTTCTCCAGGTTTTGGAAATTCTCTGTTATTATCCCTTTGAATAAACTTTCTACCACTACATTTTTCTCTGCCTGCTCTTTATGGCCGGTAACTCTTATATTTGCTCTTTTGAGTCTATATTCTAGATCGTGTAGGTGTGCTTCGTTGTTTTTGTCTTTTTCTTTTATCTCTTCTGACTGTGTATTTTTAAATAGCCTGTTTTCAAGCTCATGAATTTATTCTTCTACTTGATTGATTCTACTTTTAAGACTCTAATGCATTCTTCAGTGTGCCAATTACATTTTTTAGCTCCAGAATTTCTGCTTATTTTTGATTATTTCTATGTTTTAATTAAATTTATCTGATAGAATTCTGAATTCCTTCTCTGCGTTATGTTGAATTTCTTTGAGTTTTCTCAAAACAGCTATTTTGAATTCTCTATCTAAAAGGTCACATATCTCTGTTTTTCCAGTTTTTGTACCTGGTGCCTTATTTAGTTCATTTGGTGAGGTCATGTTTTCCTAGAGGGTCTTGATGCTTGTATATATTCCTCAGTGTCTGGGAATTGAAGTGTTAGGTATTTTTTGTATTCATCTCAGTCTGTGTTTGTTTGTACCTATCCTTCTTGTGATGGCTTTCCAGATATTTGAAAGGACTTGGGTGATGCAATCTAAGCTGTATGTGCTTTAGGGAGCACCCTAAGCCCAGTTAGCTCTGTGACTCTTGCAGACTCCTAGAGGTATTACCTTGATGGTCTTGGACAAGATTGCAGAGAATTCTCCAGATTTTTAGGAGAGAGATTTTTGTTCTTCTCCCTTACTATCTCCCAAGAAAAGGAGTCTTTCCCTCTGTTCTGAGTCAGTTAAAGCTAGAGGTGGAGTGACAACTACCTCTATGGCCACCACTTCTGTGACTGCACTGGGTCAGACCTGATGCCACCACAGCACTGAGTCTCACCCAAGGCCTGCTGTAACCCCTCCCTGGTTACTGCCTATGTTTGCTCAAGGTCCTGGGGCTCTACAATCAGCAGTAGAAAAGCCTCCAGACCTGTGTCCTTCCCTTCAGAGTGGTGAGCTCCCCCAGACGCCTGACATACCAAGAGGTGCTGTCTGGGAGGCAGGCCCTAGAGTCACACACCTTAGAGGTGTAATTGTGTATTCTATTGTACTGTGGCTACCCTGGCACTCAAACCACAAGACAGAGTCCTTTTCACTCTTCCCTCCCTTTCTTAAATGCAGAGGAGCCTCACCCAGTGGCTACCACTACCATAGGCCCACAGAGAATATTGCCAGACTACCACTGATATTTCCTTAAGACCCAGGGCTGTTCACTCAGCTTGTGTTGAATACTCTGACTTTGGACTCACTCTACAGGGCAGTGGGCTCCCTTCTTGCCCAAGGCAGGTACAGAAATGCTGTACTATAGCCAAGTCCTGGAATAAGTACTCTCAAGTCTGGTTTGGTGCTCTATTATCCTGTGACAGAGCTGGTACCTAAGGTAGTGAGACAAAGTCTCATTTACTTTTCTCTCTATTTTTCTCAAGTGGAAGGAGTCTTGCCCTGTAGCCACCATAGCTGGGAGTGTGTTGAGTCTCACCTGAAGCCAGCAAGTCTCAGTGTCTCACAGCCCTTGATGTAGTATCTGGGTATCACTGCTGGTTATTCAGGGGCCAAGGGCACTTCAGTTAGCAGGTGATGACTTCTTCCAGGTCTTGGTCATTCCCTTCAAGGCAGAAGTTTCCCTTATGGCCCAGGATGGGTCCAGAAATGTTGCTCAGGAGGAAGGTCCTGGAAAGGGTGCCTCATGACTGACCAGTGCCCTATTCTGCTGTGGCTGAGCTGGTATTCAAGATGCAAGACAAAGTCCTCCTCACTCTTATCTCTCCTCTCCTCAAGCAGAAGGATGGGGTATCTTTTGGAACTGCGAGCTGTGCAGCCTGTGGTTAGGGGAGGGTTGATGTAAGCATTCCCTTAGCTGCCTCGGTTGGTGTCTAAGCAGGTTTCTTTTATTTATTTATTTATTTATTATTATTATACTTTAAGTTTTAGGGAACATGTGCATAATGTGCAGGTTAGTTACATATGTATACATGTGACAAGCTGGTGCGCTGCACCCACTAACTCATCATCTAGCATTAGGTATATCTCCCAATGCTATCCCTCCCCCCTCCCCCCACCCCACAACAGTCCCCAGAGTGTGATGTTCCCCTTCCTGTGTCCATGTGTTCTCATTGTTCAATTCCCACCTATGAGTGAGAATATGCGGTGTTTGGTTTTTTCTTCTTGCGATAGTTTACTGAGAATGATGATTTCCAATTTCCTCCATGTCCCTACAAAGGACATGAACTCATCATTTTTTATGGCTGCATAGTATCCCATGGTGTATATGTGCCACATTTTCTTAATCCAGTCTATCATTGTTGGACATTTGGGTTGGTTCCAAGTCTTTGTTATTGTGAATAATGCCACAATAAACATACGTGTGCATGTGTCTTTATAGCAGCATGATTTATGGTCCTTTGGGTATATACCCAGTAATTGGATGGCTGGGTCAAATGGTATTTCTAGTTCTAGATCCCTGAGGAATCGCCACACTGACTTCCACAATGGTTGAACTAGTTTACAGTCCCACCAACAGTGTAAAAGTGTTCCTATTTCTCCACATCCTCTCCAGCACCTGTTGTTTCCTGACTTTTTAATGATTGCCATTCTAACTGGTGTGAGATGGTATCTCATAGTGGTTTTGATTTGCATTTCTCTGATGGCCAGTGATGGTGAGCATTTTTTCATGTGTTTTTTGGCTGCATAAATGTCTTCTTTTGAGAAGTGTCTGTTCATGTCCTTTGCCCAATTTTTGATGGGGTTGTTTGTTTTTTTCTTGTAAATTTCTTTGAGTTCATTGTAGATTCTGGATATTAGCCCTTTGTCAGATGAGTAGGTTGCAAAAATTTTCTCCCATTTTGTAGGTTGCCTGTTCACTCTGATGGTAGTTTCTTTTGCTGTGCAGAAGCTCTTTAGTTTAATTAGATCCCATTTGTCAATTTTGGCTTTTGTTGCCATTGCTTTTGGTGTTTAAGACATGAAGTCCTTGCCCATGCCTATGTCCTGAATGGTAATGCCTAGGTTTTCTTCTAGGGTTTTTATGGTTTTAGGTCTGACGTTTAAGTCTTTAATACATCTTGAATTGATTTTTGTATCAGGTGTAAGGAAGGGATCCAGTTTCAGCTTTCTGCATATGGCTAGCCAGTTTTCCCAGCACCATTTATTAAATAGGGAATCCTTTCCCCATTGCTTGTTTTTCTCAGGTTTGTCAAAGATCAGATAGTTGTAGATATGCAGCATTATTTCTGAGGGCTCTGTTCTGTTCCATTGATCTATATCTCTGTTTTGGTACCAGTACCATGCTGTTTTGGTTACTGTAGCCTTGTAGTATAGTTTGAAGTCAGGTAGTGTGATGCCTCCAGCTTTGTTCTTTTGGCTTAGGATTGACTTGGCGATGCGGGCTCTTTTTTGGTTCCACATGAACTTTAAAGTAGTTTATTTCCAATTCTGTGAAGAAAGTCATTGGTAGCTTGATGGGGATGGTATTGAATCTGTAAATTACCTTGGGCAGTATGGCCATTTTCACGATATTGATTCTTCCTACCCATGAGCATGGAATGTTCTTCCATTTGTTTGTATCCTCTTTTATTTCCTTGAGCAGTGGTTTGTAGTTCTCCTTGAAGAGGTCCTTCACATCCCTTGTATGTTGGATTCCTAGGTATTTTATTCTCTTTGAAGCAATTGTGAATGAGAGTTCACTCATGATTTGGCTGTCTGTTTGTCTGTTGTTGGTGTATAAGAATGCTTGTGATTTTTGTACATTGATTTTGTATCCTGAGACTTTGCTGAAGTTGCTTATCAGCTTAAGGAGATTTTGGGCTGAGACAATGGGGTTTTCTAGATATACAATCATGTCGTCTGCAAACAGGGACAATTTGATTTCCTCTTTTCCTGATTGAATACCCTTTATTTCCTTCTCCTGCCTAATTGGCCTGGCCAGAACTTCCAACACTATATTGAATAGGAGTGGTGAGAGAGGGCATCCCTGTCTTGTGCCAGTTTTCAAAGGGAATGCTTCCAGTTTTTGCCCATTCAGTATGATATTGTCTGTGGGTTTGTCATAGATAGCTCTTATTATTTTGAGATACATCCCATCAATACCTAATTTATTGAGAGTGTTTAGCATGAAGGGTTGTTAAATTTTGTCAAAGGCCTTTTCTGCATCTATTGAGATAATCATGTGGTTTTTGTCTTTGGTTCTGTTTATATGCTGGATTACATTTATTGATTTTCGCATATTGAACCAGCCTTGCATCCCAGGGATGAAGCCCACTTGATCATGGTGGATAAGCTTTTTGATGTGCTGCTGGATTCAGTTTGCCAGTATTTTATTGAGGATTTTTGCATCAATGTTCATGAAGGATATTGGTCTAAAATTCTCTTTTTTGGTTGTGTCTCTGCCCAGCTTTGGTATCAGGATGATGCTGGCCTCATAAAATGAGTTAGGGAGGATTCCCTCTTTTTCTATTGATTGGAATAGTTTCAGAAGGAATGGTATGAGTTCCTGCTTGTACCTCTGGTAGAATTCGGCTGTGAATCCATCTGGTCCTGGACTATTTTTGGTTGGTAAGCTATTGATTATTGCCACAATTTCAGATCCTGTTATTGGTCTATTCAGAGATTCAACTTCTTCCTGGTTTAGTCTTGGGAGAGTGTATGTGTCGAGGAATTTATCCATTTCTTCTAGATTTTCTAGTTTATTTGCGTAGAGGTGTTTGTAGTATTCTCTGATGGTAGTTTGTATTTCTGTGGGATCGGTGGTGATATCCCCTTTATCATTTTTTATTGCGTTGATTTGATTCTTCTCTCTCTTTTTCTTTATTAGTCTTACTAGCGGTCTATCAATTTTGTTGATCCATTCAAAAAACCAGCTCCTGGATTCATTAATTTTTTGAAGGGTTTTTTGTGTCTCTATTTCCTTCAGTTCTGCTCTGATTTTAGTTATTTCTTGCCTTCTGCTAGCTTTTGAATGTGTTTGCTCTTGCTTTTCTATTTCCTTTAATTGTGATGTTAGGTTGTCAATTTTGGATCTTTCCTGTTTTCTCTTGTGGGCATTTAGTGCTATAAATTTCCCTCTACACACTGCTTTGAATGCGTCCCAGAGATTCTGGTATGTTGTGTCTTTGTTCTCATTGGTTTCAAAGAACATCTTTATTTCTGCCTTCATTTCGTTATGTACTCAGTAGTCATTCAGGAGCAGGTTGTTCTGTTTCCATGTAGTTGAGCGGTTTTGAGTGAGTTTCTTAATCCTGGGTTCTAGTTTGATTGCACTGTAGTCTGAGAGATAGTTTGTTATAATTTCTATTCTTTTACATTTGCTGAGGAGAGCTTTACTTCCAAGTATGTGGTCAATTTTGGAATAGGTGTGGTGTGGTGCTGAAGAAAATGTATATTCTGTTGATTTGGGGTGGAGAGTTCTGTAGATGTCTATTAGGTCCGCTTGGTGAAGAGCTGAGTTTAATTCCTGGGTATCCTTGTTGACTTTCTGTCTCGTTGATCTGTCTAATGTTGACAGTGGGGTGTTAAAGTCTCCCATTATTAATGTGTGGGAGTCTAAGTCTCTTTGTAGGTCACTCAGGACTTGCTTTATGAATCTGGGTGCTCCTGTATTGGGTGCATATATATTTAGGATAGTTAGCTTTTCTTGTTGAATTGATCCCTTTACCATTATGTAATGGCCTTCTTTGTCTCTTTTGATCTTTGTTGATTTAAAGTCTGTTGTATCAGAGACTAGGATTGCAACCCTGCCTTTTTTTTTGTTTTCCATTTGCTTGGTAGATCCTCCTCCATCCTTTTATTTTGAGCCTATGTGTCTCTCTGCACGTGAGATGGGTTTCCTGAATACAGCACACTGATGGGTCTTGACTATCCAATTTGCCAGTCAATGCCTTTTAATTGGAGCATTTAGTCCATTTACATTTAAAGTTAATATTGTTATGTGTGAATTTGATCCTGTCATTATGATGTTAGCTGGTTATTTTGCTTGTTAGTTGATGCAGTTTCTTCCTAGTCTCGATGGTCTTTACATTTTGGCATGATTTGGCAGCGGCTGGTACCGGTTGTTCCTTTCCATGTTTAGCGCTTCCTTCAGGAGCTCTTTTAGGGCAGGCCTGGTGGTGACAAAATCTGTCAGCATTTGCTTGTCTGTAAAGTATTTTATTTCTCCTTCACTTATGAAGCTTAGTTTGGCTGGATATGAAATTCTGGCTTGAAAATTCTTTTCTTTAAGAATGTTGAATATTGGCCCCCACTCTCTTCTGGCTTGTAGAGTTTCTGCCGAGAGATCAGCTGTTAGTCTGATGGGCTTCCCTTTGAGGGTAACCCTATGTTTCTCTCTGGCTGCCCTTAACATTTTTTCCTTCATTTCAACTTTGGTGAATCTGACAATTATGTGTCTTGGAGGTGCTCTTCTCGAGGAGTATCTTTGTGGCATTCTCTGTATTTCCTGAATCTGAATGTTAGCCTGCCTTGCTGGATTGGGGAAGATCTCCTGGATAATATCCTGCAGAGTGTTTTCCAACTTGGTTCCATTCTCCCCGTCACTTTCAGGTACACCAATCAGATGTAGATTTGGTCTTTTCACATAGTCCCATATTTCTTGGAGGCTTTGCTCGTTTCTTTTTATTCTTTTTTCTCTAAACTTCCCTTCTCACTTCATTTCATTCATTTCATCTTCCATCACTGATACGCTTTCTTCCAGTTGATTGCATCGGCTCCTGAGGCTTCTGCATTCTTCACGTAGTTCTCGAGCCTTGGTTTTCAGCTCCATCAGCTCCTTTAAGCACTTCTCTGTGTTGATTATTCTAGTTATACATTCTTCTAAATTTTTTTCAAAGTTTTCAACTTCTTTGCCTTTGGTTTGAATGTCCTCCCGTAGCTCAGAGTAATTTGATCGTCTGAAGCCTTCTTCTCTCAGCTTGTCAAAGTCATTATCCATCCAGCTTTGTTCCGTTGCTGGTGAGGAACTGCATTCCTTTGGAGGAGGAGAGTCGCTCTGCTTTTTAGAGTTTCCAGTTTTTCTGCTCTGTTTTTTCCCCATCTTTGCGGTTTTTCCTACTTTTGGTCTTTGATGATGGTGATGTACAGATGGGTTTTTGGTGTGGATGTCCTTTCTGTTTGTTAGTTTTCCTTCTAACAGACAGGGCCCTCATCTGCAGGTCTGTTGGAGTACTCTGTGTGAGGTGTCAGTTTGCCCCTGCTGGGGGGTGCCTCCCAGTTAGGCTGCTCAGGGGTCAGGGGTCAGGGACCCACTTGAGGAGGCAGTCTGCCCGTTCTCAGATCTCCAGCTGCGTGCTGGGAGAACCACTGCTCTCTTCAAAGCTGTCAGACAGGGACATTTAAGTCTGCAGAGGTTACTGCTGTCTTTTTGTTTGTCTGTGCCCTGCCCCCAGAGGTGGAGCCTACAGAGGCAGGCAGGCCTCCTTGAGCTGTGGTGGGCTCCACCCAGTTCGAGCTTCCTGGCTGCTTTGTTTACCTAAGCAAGCCTGGGCAATGGCGGGCGCCCCTCCTCCAGCCTCACTGCCGCCTTGCAGTTTGATCTTAGACTGCTGTGCTAGCAATCAGCCAGACTCCGTGGGCGTAGGACCCTCCGAGCCAGTTGTGGGATATAATCTGATGCCCCGTTTTTTAAGCCCATCGGAAAAGCACAGTATTCGGGTGGGAGTGACCCGATTTTCCAGGTGCCGTCTGTCACCCCTTTCTTTGACTAGGAAAGGGAACTCCCTGACCCCTTGTGCTTCCCAAGTGAGGCAATGCCTCGCCCTGCTTCGGCTCGCGCACGGTGCGCGCACCCACTGACCTGCACCCACTGTCTTGCACTCCCTAGTGAGATGAACCCAGTACCTCAGATGGAAATGCAGAAATCACCCGTCTTCTGCGTCGCTCACGCTGGGAGCTGTAGACCGCAGCTGTTCCTATTCGCTCTAAGCAGGTTTCATACCCAACCAGTTCACTCTCTCTGGGCCCAGTTTAACACTTCGGCTTGCTCAGGAGTTGTGATCCTCTTGGTGTTGACTGTCTTTCAAGTTTATTTGCGGCCCCAGAACACTTTAGCCCATGGTGGTGAGGCTTGTGGGAACTCAAGTTTGGACCACTAGGATTGACAATTCCCCTCTGACTAGGGCTGGTTTAAATGCTCTCTCCTTGGTCGGACATCAGCTGAGTTTGGTCGGGTTTTGCTTTTTGTTGTAAGAGGGCAACACTGAGTTTGATGCCTCACAATTGCTATGATTTCTGTCTCCTCAGACACAGAAATGGTCTCCACAATAAGCTTCAAAAGACAGAGGAGCCAGGGGGATTTGGGAGGGGTGGCATCAGAGAACAAGATTTTTTTTTTGTACTTCTTCAGTGCCTCTTTCAGTGATTTTGAAGTTATAATCAGGTACTATGAGTGCTCACCTTATTTTTGGTTCTTATGAAGGGATGTGTGTGTGTGTATAGATAGTTGTTAAATTGATATCCTTTGGTGGGGAAAATGATTGGTGAAACCTATTCTGCCATCTTGCCTTGAACACCTAATTAAAATTTTGGATGCAATAATAATTTAACTTTTTTACCAAAAATTATTTGTGAAAATTATATATGAAATATCTTGGCCGGGCGAGGTGGCTCACGCTTGTAATCTCAGCACTTTGGGAGGCCGAGGCGGGCGGATCACGAGGTCAGGAGATCGAGACCATCCTGGCTAACACGGTGAAACCCCGTCTCTACTAAAAATACAAAAAAAATTAGCCGGGCGTGATGGTGGGGGCCTGTAGTCCCAGCTACTCGGGAGGCTGAGGCAGGAGAATGGCGTGAACCCTGGAGGCGGAGCTTGCAGTGAGCCGAGATTGCGCCACTGCACTCCTGCCTGGGCCACAGAGCGAGACTCCATCTCAAAAAAAAAAAAAAAAAAAAAAAAAAAAAAGAAATATCTTAAGTTAGTTCATGACATATTTGATATAATTTGTGACAAATACATCACCTCAACTATATAAGTCAACTTTAATCTTTATTATTAGAGATCCCATGTTCAAGTTTGCCTATAAATGAAAGAATTATTGGCAGTGTGTTTTATAAATTTATATTAGAGGATAATCTTATTTTTTCATTATTAGACCCTCTTTGTTACTGTGCTTTCTTTTGGTTTGTCTCTAAAATGAGTACCAATAGAATCCTTTTGATAACAAATGTATTTTGAGATGTACACATACATATCACTTTGATTAAAAATCTTTCACAAAAATATTTGGTAAAATTTATTACATATATACTGGAGACTTTACACATTTTACTAGGCTTATTCATTTTATTATGGTAGACCATTCTTGAGAATCCAGGTTGTGGGGGGCATGTATAGATTGTGCACAAAACATAAAATAATACACATGACTGGTAGTATCTTGTTGGTAGATAGTGAACTAAGAAACAGGGATGTAGCACATATATAGACACACATGTCATAACATACACATGCATGCACATATATGCAAACATACGTTTTCTGGCTTCAGAGTCATGTATAGAAACATATACAGTCCTATAAATAAATATAATTGTGTATATATATATATATATATATATATATAATTAGAGCACTTAACACAATGAAAAACATTACAATTGTACACATAGGAACCATTGGTCTGGCTACTGTATAATAGGGTAAGTAGCTCAATTTTCAGAATATTATGGGGTTAGAGAAAAAATAGCTTCGACCTTCTTAGGACATTCTTTTGGGCATTCTTTCCAAAGGCCAAGGGACAAACAAGACCAAATTCTCAGTCCATGGGTCACATCTAGCTCTCACTCTAATCTGATACAACCTCCATGACTACACAGTGATAGCGAGTACTTTTCTGTTTTCTGCTTTAAAAAATTAATTTGTCAGTTGCAGTGGTGTGTGAGCAGCTGTCTGAACACCGAAGCATATAGCAACCCCATCATAGGAGGTTAGTTGTAATAGGAATATGTGGTCCTGTAATTATATGATTTTATGTGGAACATTTTAGAAGCCTTCCAAATGAAATCTCTTCCTGACAAGAGTAATGACAAAAAGATAATTTATTGGAAAGCAGTCAGATTGTATAAGGCTGTTAAATTACTCTACTACAGGTGAATCAGGGGCTAAGTGTGTTAAATTGGTGATAGCTGAATTGTTACTGATAACGCTCAATGGTCACACCATATTATGTTGGCTTAGAAAATGTTTCATGCTCTATTCTTATTGTTATCAGAAGTACAATCTCTGGATAAAGGATAAAGTAAAAATATTTCCTCTAGTAGATAATTGTAGACATTTATATATAGTCAATGGGATATTAATAGGGAAATCGTGTACTTTATTTTCCAAACTGGAACACTTTTGAAAGTGAAAGTGACCGCTATTAATAATTACATCACAACAACAGGCATAAACAAGGAAGCAGGTTCAGGGAAATTGGGATGTATAGTTACTCTAAGAATGACATATAAAACTTGACAAGATAGTTCCACAGGTGACTCAGGCCTGGCCAGCAGTGAACCTCCTTGCCTTCTGCCTTCTATTGAAGTGACATTTGTATAAATGAATTGGTTTCCATGTTATAGGTATTCATTTCATAATATGAGGATATAATGTGGTTCCTGAGCGCATTGTTTGTATTGGTTTTGCTTTAGAGCCCTAGAAATGTTTGAATTGTAGTAGTGTGTTGCAGCATCATTAGATGGAGATGGCTGGTACAATGGCTGTCATCCAAAATGATATATTTCCATAATTCTCAGTAGTGATTTGACCCTCTTGGTCTACCTCCAGTTTCTGTTTCCTTCTTATGATTTTTGTGGGAGGCTGATTTCTGATTTAAGAAAACATGTTATATTTTATTTGCTTCCTCTTTTAACTCTATTTTTCTGCACAACTGACTAATATGAATATTGTAGTTAATAGAGGCTTACAAGAAACACTCTTAATTCTCTTGTTTGCTCTAACGATATCTCACTGTGGCCTCTTAGATAAATGACCAAGTGGTTTTGTTGACATATTTATGAAGTTTTATAATAGAATAAACTGGGTAAAGTGCATTTTATGGAGCTTACTTAGGTTTTTAGTTTAAAGACAATATAGCCACAAGGAGTAGTACTATTTCAATAAACCCCAAACTAAGTCATTTTCATCCACAATTCTTTAATTCTCTGTTAAAAATGTCATTGTAGAGATGATCTTTATACTTTTGAAAAGTACCTAATTAGATCAATCATTCCAGGTATCTCTGAATTATTTTTACAAAAAAGGTTTCAGAGTTCAGGTCCAACTTGTAAAATGATGGCAAAAATTATTTTAGCTTTGAGTTGCTTGGCTTATTCATATTTCTTTTTGTTTTTCTGCACCTTTTGTATATTACTAGATTTAAATAATTTTCATAATAGTTTGAAGAAAACCACAGTGAAGTTTAAAATTTGTTGTGACTGTGAAACTGTGCTGTTGAATGATAAGGACACTCCACCCTGTTCATTGGCTAAGAGGAAATGTAATCAAAGTATTGTCTTTGTTCAGTCCATAGTCAACTTGCATTATTTCTTAATTTGTATCTTTAGATTCTGGGATATATTGAGTTTAGAAAGTTTCTTTTTACTCTGTCAACATCTTTCTTTTAAAACAATTTCTGATTTGTACCCAAATATTTTAGTTGCTTCAAGCTTTACTTTTATAAGGTACACAAATGTTATTTGTGAATATACAGTATCTTTTTTGAAGGAGAATACGTAATGTTGGTTGCCTTTTATAATTAAGCTACTGTGGATGAACCTTTTATGACAAATAAGAGACAATTTTGTTATGACTCTTATGTTACACTGTGATGCAGTTCTCTCTACTTTTCCATGCCCCCAATGAGGGGGTTTTCATTCTACTTCAGCTTCCTTATATCCAGTGACATGTGTATAATGGATCATGTTCAGCTTAGCAGTGATTCTGACAGTGCTCAGCACAAAGTAGATGCTCAGTACTTCTTTGCTGGATCTATGTTAGCTATTGAATTTCTTTTTGCATCTCATAAAGATATGTGTGTTGAGATATGATTACTTAAGGAATATTCAGGACAATGGGGAGCTGTTATGGTTGCTTTAGGCTGGGTTTGTTTTACCTACAATGGGGAAGAGAGTGACTACCACCCAAAATTTGTTTTATATTCTGAGAAGTCTCAGGTTTATTTCATAACTTGAAAAAAATGTCGGTGTTCATTCAAATGAAGAAGCAAAAATTTTCAAATAATATGCATCCACATAGAGCTTGGCTTAAAATCAGGGCCATTTGTGGCATTTCTCCCCCTTTGGCCTCCTCCATTTGTCAGCTTTTTGAGAAGGTGTATATATTTCCATAAAATTCACAGTTGGCTGACAGTAACAACATAAAACTTATTTTAGAGATTATCATTGTATTTTTTAAATTTTTTATTGGTACATGATATTTGTACATATTTATGGGATACATGATAACTTTTGTTACATGCATAGAATGTGTAATGGTCAACTAGATGGGTATCCAACATGTTGAGTGTTTAGCATTTCTATGTGTTGGGAACATTTCAAGTCCTCTGTTTCAGTTGTTTTGAAATATACAATACATTGTTGTTAACTATAGTCACCCTACCCTGGTATAGAACATTAGGACTTATTCTAACTCTATGTTTGTACCCATTAGCCGTTAATTATATAGGCATCTCAAATAGAATATTTAATGAAGAACCTTGAAGGAACTGAACTTTACTTCTTTGCGAAAAAAAAAATTGCATAATAGTGCTTAAGAAAAATGTGTATATTTAATTTCATACTGATAAAGTTGGGTTTTAATGCTATTTCACTTTACTAATGGATTTTCTCATTTTGTATTACTTTTATTTTAATCATGAGAAAGACTTGTTTTTAAAAAGTTTATTTTATTAGTATTCCAGTTCTTAATTTATCGCAAGGACAAAAAACCAAACACTGCATGTTCTCACTCATAGGTGGGAATTGAACAATGAGAACGCATGGACACAGGAAGGGGAACATCACACACCGGGGCCTGTTGTGGGGTGGGGGAAGGGAGAGGGGGGAGGGATAGCATTAGGAGATATATCTAATGTAAATGATGAGTTAATGGGTGCAGCACACCAACATGGCACATGTATACATATGTAACAAACCTGCACATTGTGCACATGTACCCTAAAACTTAAAGTATAATAATAAAAAAATGTTTAGCCCAATAAAAATAAGCAAAAATAAAATTCAGGTGGGTCCTCTTCATTTAAATGCTCAGTGGCTTTATACTTGAATACTTGACTATACAATTTATAGTTATATTAGTCAGGGTATTGCACATGGAAATTGTATTTTGCCATTTTCTGTGCTCATTCAGCTTCCTTTGATTTAAAAATTATTAAAATGGAATAAATATTTAGCACCAGCTAAGAAAAGTTTTATTTCAAACTGAAGCAGTACAAAGGTTATTGGCCATATTGTGAACAATGTAGTATGAAGTGGATTCCTTTAGTTGTTCACTTATTAAGGAAGGTAACTGGAAGAAGGGAAAAAGAATACAATGTTTGTGTTATTTGTGACCTATATTGCCCTTCAAATACTGAAGTAACACATTGGACTTAAGAATGGTAAGAGGAATAAAGATTATAAAGCATATACAAAAATCCATTATTTGGGGCTTTCTCTTACATCAGTCATGGAAAAATTTGGCATGGGAGAGAAAAGTGATGGAATTATTTGTATGAGAACATCATAAAAATTTATTAGTCAAAGTTTTCCAGCAAGACAATGGATTGTGCAACAGATACATCTAATGTAGCAGAATTTTCTTTGTTTTATCAGTGACAAATACAGGTTCATAAATATATTACTGAAGACATTTTAATTTTAAAGCCTTGCCCTTCTGCTTCAGTGATAAAAAATTATTTTTGAAATTCAAGGAAGATTATTCTTGAAATATAAAAAAAACTGCCCTGTGGTCAATGATAGTCTTAACTACCTGTCAATCAAAAGCAGAAGTTTGTTGAGACATTTAATTACAAGGTAATGTAGTCATCAAAATGTCATTGTGGTAACTGACAGCTCATTTTGGACTGAAAGTGTACAACTACCTCCCCTGAGGTCAGAGATGTTTGGAGGTTAACTTAGTAATGACAAATCCTTTATTATCACATTATGACATTGAAAAAATGTAATTACACTAATAAATTAATAACAGTAGTAAAATGACAGTCATAATTGCATAATGTACAAGTTGTCAACTGCGTTTTTGATACATGGTTGGAATTTTTATCTTATCAGTATATTTGCAGTATATTAATTGTCCTGAATATGGCACAGACACAGAAGGATTTCTAAAATTTTTCAAATGCTATGGTCTATACTTATGGGAGTCCAGTGTATCCATACTTTGATTCTACTTATATTCTTCCCACCTCTTTCTCTTCTGCTGTTTTACAAAGCCTTAAAATAAATAAGGAGAATTTGCAATTACCACTTGACCCAGTGTTAATGTGTAGTTAATGTCCTTTTTATCTGGGAAAGTTTTGACTTCTGTCTGAAGAAAATTTTGGCTTAAATGTCTTGTACTTAATGCATGAAGAAAAAAATGAAAGGAAAAGGACAGGGTTTTATACATATATATTTTATTTTATTTTATTATTTTATTTCATTTTAAATAGCTGTAGATGCAATCTTTGACTTCCTAACTTTGCATAAATATAGAAAGTAGATCTCCTTAGTATCTAACTTCCTTCTGCCTTGAAATCTTCCAGTTAATATAACTAGGAGCTGGCTAATAATAGGTTTATGCATGTAGTGTTCTAGCCGTGAGTTGGCACTTGATAGTTGACATTTATTTATAAAGAGAACTAGTGGAAAAAATGATTAGTTGGCTACTGTTTTCATTGACCTGAATTATAGAGAATTAATTGTATACCTTTTCAAACATTTCCATGGGGTAACAGATGACCTTTTAAAATGGTGATTTGCCCATTCTTTTTATATTTGCTTGCAATTCTTTATTTATATCTTCTCCTGAGTGCACTTAGAAACTTCTGGGTGTGCTGGGAAGAAAAGGTTTGCTCTTTGGTACCCAAGTCAGAAAGTTTACCCAAGTCTCTGCCAGGACCATAGATTTAATAAACTGTTAAAAGGACTGATTTCTTTGAGAGAAGTTTGAAAGTAGTATACAATAGCTTTTAGATTATGTATTATTTATATATCTATATATAGCACATATATTTTATATATAATAATTAGGAAGCTTACATTGTTTTTTCCTCAAAGGAAAGAAGGAATGCTCCAGAGTCAAATATGTTTTAGGGGAGCCTAAAGATTCTTAGGAATTCATTGGTAATATGGCTGTGCAGTGTTTTGCAAGTTTGAAAAGATGATAAATGATAATAATAACCAATATGTAATGAGTAAATTTTACTATGTTCTCAGCACTTATTAAGAAGATAGCAATGCTAACACAAACAATATTCCCAAAATGTATGAAGAGGTACTATTATTATCTTCATATTGCAGATGAGAAACTGAAGCACAGAGCAGGTAAGTAGCTTGCCTCAAATTATACATCTAGTATGTTGTGGAGGTGGGATTCAAACGCAGACATTGTGGCCCCATAGTCCATGTTCTTAAACCACTAAGGATATTGGAGGAAAACATACATAAAGAGCACTGCACCAGGAATCAGGAGACTTGAATTTTAGCTTTACTGCTACTAAGTAGTCCTTATGGTCTTGCACAAGGTTACTCTGTGGTCCCAAGTTTCCTCACTCCTAAAACTGGACACGTTCATGGGTCTGTAATCTGGTTTTATGAGAACTCTGAAAGCAGACATTCTTTTTGCGTTCACTTTTTGACCACAGAGCTTTCCGTTTCCATTTGTTATATTGGCTATAGAGGGTGAGGTTAAACAAAAAGCAATATGGGTCCAAATGTGAAGTAGAACATATTAGTCTGAGCTGTCCAAAGACAGAATAGACTTATTTAAACAAATGGTGCATTTACCATCAAGTGGAAATGTTCAATCAGAGGATGGATGACCAGTTAGTGGGGTACTGAAGAGAGGACTCAAGTATCAGTTGGGAAGTGGGGTACACCAGATGACTTTTAATATTTCTTTCTACCTTTGGATTTTATGTTTCTGCAAATCTCATCAATATTTCATTCATTCATTTAACAAAAGCAATCTACCTGTAATGATATATAAGCACATATGTATAATTATGTGAACATACTATATATATATATATCTTTCTGTACCCATAACCTGACTTATAGAGTGAATCTTGCAAGAATTTCATCTATTAAAAATAATAAATACTATTCAAAGCGATCTACAGATTCAGTGCAATTCCTAGCAATGACATTCTTCACAGAAATAAAAAACACAATCTGAAAATTCGTATGGAACCACAAAAGACTCAGAATAGTCAAAACAATCTTGAGTAGAACAAAGCTGGAGGTATCACACTACCTGACTTCAAAATATACTATAGTTATAGTAACCAAAACAGCATGCCATTGACATAAAAACAGACTGATAAACTACTGAAACAAAATAAAGAGCCCAGATAAATCCATGCATTTACGGCCAACTGATTTTTGTGCCAAGAACACACAATGGGGGAAAGAACAGCTGCTTCAATAAATGGTGCTAGGAAAACTGGATATCCACATGTAGAAGAATGGAACTAGACCCCTCTCTCTTACCCTACACAAAAATCACCTCGGAGTTGCCCTGGCGACAGCCTTCCCCTGACTACTCCTCTGTCTCTCCAGTGAAAAATGGGACCCTGCTTGCCCACTGCTCAGAAGCTGCAAGCTGTGTACTCATGAATTTTGGAGCCCATTTGGACTTTCATAATCAGTGATGGCAGTAAAGGAATCAACTTTGAGAGCTACTGAGTTTTGGTTCTCTCATCAGGTGTATTTACGTTATTGGCAACATTACCATCATGTCATGGCTTGGATGCAAAGCCACCAGAATGCCTGTAGGAAGGCTGTGGAATCCTATTTCAGTATTCCATGGTCATTTCCTCCTGCAGTTCTTCCCTGAAGAGCTTACGATAACCAGGCTGGATATCCTATGTCCTTCTCTGACCATCACATGGCCTGGCAGGACTCCTACCTCCGTTCTACAGATTTCAGAAGGTCTGGACAGCATCCACATGACAGCAGTAGGATCCAGGCATCCACAAGAGAAGACCAAGCTTAGCCTAAAGAGGAGGAGATGGAGAGAAAGTCAGATGGGGTGGTAGAATGCGACCTAAGCAATATGGAAGTCACCCAGGACCTCTGCCAGTACTTTGCAGAGACCCAGAGGCACAGAGAAGACCAATGGTAGCAGCAGCAGCTGGATGCAGAATACCTGGATGACTACATGAACGCTGACCACGACCTGTACTACAACATCTACTGGTCAGTGGAGCCCCTGACTAAGAGGCCCAGTGAGCAGCAACAGACTGAGAATAAAACATTTGTTTGGGAGAGTGCCACCAAGATCGAGGCCATGGAGGCTGAAGTGCAGCTGAGCTTTGACAAGCACTGTGACAGAAAAGCAGCCCAAGTATTGGCTGGTCATCACCCTGAAGTTCTGAGCACTGGGCACAGGGACCCCTGAGAGTGCTTTCTGACAGAGTCACCAGCCTCACCCTTTTTGGGGGGTACACGCTCTATATCTCTCCTTCTGTACAATTCTCATGGAAAGGAGAATTTGTAGTGAGGCACAGCATGTTCACCAATGTCCCAGTTGGCCTGTCATGGGTGTATGTACTATGCCAGCTCCTTAGCGGTCAGCCAGATGTGTACTGTTGACAACATGTGAAATTTTCTCCTGATATAAAATGATAATTTTGTATATATTACACTGTTTTTTGATGTTGTCAATAACAGTTCAATTCATTAAAGTTCTTGCCTAGAAAAAAAAATAAACTCAAAATGGATTAAAGACTCAAATGTAAGGCTCGAAACTATAGAACTACTAAAAGAACAAGCACAGGAGAAATGCTTCATGATATTGTTCAGGGCAAGGATTTTTTGGGTAAGACCCCAAATTATAGACTACAAAAGCAAAAACAGACAAGTGGGATTTCATCAAACTAAAATGCTTCTGCATAGCAAAGGAAATAATAGAGTGAAGAGACAACATATAGAATGGGAGAGAATATTTATAAACAATGCGTCTGACAAGGGGTCGATATCAGGAATATATATAACAAAATCGAACAACTCGATAGCAGAAAAAAAAAACACCCTAAATAATCTGATTTAAAAATAGGCAAAAGACCTGAATAGATATTTCTCAAAAGAAGATATACAAATGACACATAACCAGCAGGTATATGACAAAATTTTCAACATCACTCAACATCAGGGAAATGCAAATCAAAACCACAATGAGATGTCATCTCACACCAGTTAGAATGGCTATCGTCAAAAAGACAAAACAACTAACAAATGCTGGCAATGATACGGTTAAAAGAGAACTTTTATACACTGTTGGTGGGAATGTAAATTAGTTTAGTCATATGGGAAATACTATGGAGGTTTCTCAAAAAATGAAAATTAGAACTACATATAATTTAACAATCCTACTGCTGAATATATATCCAAAGAAATTGAAATTAATTTGTCAAAGAGATACCTATACTCCCGTCTCTATTCCAGCACTATTTATATTAGCCAAGATATGAAATCAACCTAAATGTCCATCAAAAGATGAATAGCTAAAGAAAATGTAGTATTTATAAACAATGGAATGTTACTCAGCTACAAAAAAGAATGAAATCCTGTTATTTGCAGCAACATGGATAAACCTGGAGGACGTTATGTTAGGTAAAATGAGCCAGGCACCAAAGGACAAATATCACATCATCTTACTCATATGTGAAACCTAAATAAGTTGATGTCTGTGATGGTTAATACTGAGTGTCAACTTGATTGGATTGAGGGATACAGAGTATTAATCCTGGGTGTGTCTGTGTAGGTGTTGCCCAAAAGAGATTAACATTTGAGTCAGTGGGCTGGGGAAGGCAAATCCAGCCTTAATCTGGTGGGCAAAATCTAATCAGCTTCCAGGAAATACAAAGCAGGCAGAAAAACATGAAAAGGCAAGACGACCCTAGCCTCCTAGCCTACATGTGTCTCCTGTGCTGGATGCTTCCTTCTTTCAAACATTGGACTCCAAGTTCTTCAATTTTGCAACTTGGACTGGCTCTCCTTGCTCCTCAGCTTGCAGACAGCCTATTGTGGGACCTTGTGATTATGTAAGTTAATACTCAATAAACTCATATATATGTCCTATTAGTTCTGTCCCTCCCAGAGAACCTTGACTAATAAAGATTTTGGTACCAGAAGTGGGGTGATTCTAGAGGAACATAATATAAATGATGAAGTTTTTCCCTTGGTTTTGGGGTTTCTGAAGTTGGCTGCTTAATATGAGTAGACCCAAAAATGCTAAGGACTCTACTTTTAATAGCATGGAGAACACCAATATTCCTTGGCATGAACTATTTAGATAGTTACGCAAAATAAATGCATTTGACACTCCTGATTCACTGCTCATGAAAGGCAAGGAGTTTAGTGACTCTACACATAATATCATTGGCCATATATGGAGAACCAAGGAACATAATGAATCTGGTTGTTGCTCCGAAGTTCAGTGGAAAAAATGATGAAACAAAATGATGAACTCAAGGATTCTGTCTCCTGGCTTCAGAAGCAGATACTGAGCCTCAAATCTGCTAAGATTGCCCTGAGTGAGAGTCTTATCTCCTATTGAGAAAGAGCTGACAATGTAGAAAAATAGACACAAGTTCTTATCATGAAAGTGGTTGACCTGCAATGAAAGATGCATGGACTTCCTTGCCAGGTGTCTACTGTTAAAGTGAGGGCATTTATTGGAAAATAATGGGGCCCTGCAACTTGGAATGGGGATGTGTGAGAAGACCCTGATGAAGCTGGGGACACTGTGTTTGTAAATTCTGATGAAGCTTTTTTGCCAGAAGGAACAGCTTTCCCATCTCCAGTAGTGGCAACATCCCCTCCCTGACCCATGCTGCCATCAGCCTTTCCACCTTTGTCTGAGGAGATAAACCCTGCACTGCCTGAGGTAACAGTGATGGCCTCCAGTGAGGCAGTTGCCAGACAGGATAATGTTGATTCTCCTCAGAAGCCACCCCCAACACCTCTGTTTGCTTCTAGACCTATCACTAGACTAAAGTCATGGTGGGCCCCTAGAGGTGAGGTTGAAAGTGTGACCCCTGAGGAGGTGTGCTACACTTGAAAACAACTGTCTGAGTTCTCCAAATTACATAAACAGAAATCTGGAGAACAGGAATGGGAATGGATACAAAGGGCATGGGATAATGGTGGAAGCAACATAGAATTGGATCAGGCAGAATTTATTGATTTGGGCCCACTAAGTAGGGACTCTGCACTTAATTTTGCAGCTCAGGGAGTTAAAAAAAGGTTTTAATAGTTTACTTGCTTGGTTAGCTGAAATATGGATTAAAAGATGGCCCACTGTGAGAGAGCTGGAAATGCCTGATCTCCCTTGGTTTAATGTAGAGGAAGGGATCCAAAGGCTTAGGAAGATTGGGATCGTAGATTGTATTCATCACTTTAGACCTGCTCATCGCACCTGGGAGGGTCCAGAAGATATACCCTTGACCCATGCCTTGTGAAATAGATTTATGAGAGCAGTACTTGCATTTTTGAAGAGCATTATAGTTGTCCTTTTCTGCATATTAGGTTCCCTAAAGGTGGGAACCACAATTACTCAGCTACAAAATTTAAATACAATGGGAATAATTGGATCCTTAGGTGGCAGAGGCCAAGTGGCAGCACTCGACTGTCAAAGGCAAGGTGGGCATAGCTACCATCATGGACAAAAGAGGCAAAGCAGCAATCGTGTAGAGCTCTGGCATTGGCTAATTAATCACAGTATTCCTAGAAGTGAAATTGATGGGAAGCTTACTGCATTCCCACTTAAATTATACAAACAGAAAACTTGTAGGTCGAATGGACAAAATACTAACTTGAATTATAAAAACAGAGAATCATGGCCCCTTAATCAATTTCCAGACTTGAGCCAGTTTACAGAACCAGAAGCTCTTGAATGAAGGGGAGGCCGGGTCCCCTTGAGGAAGGACCACACTACATTACCAACAATTTATGTAGTGAATCTTTCACCCATCTTTCCCCAAGGAGACCACTGGCCTTTTACCAGGGTAACTGTGCACTGGGGAAAGGGAAATGATCAGACGTTTGGGGACTAGTGGATACTGGCTCTGAGCTGATGTTGATTCCAGGCAACTCATAATGTCAATGTGGTCCTTCAGTTAAAGTAGGGGCTTATGGAGGTCAGGTAATTAATGGAGTTTTAGCTCAGGTCTGACTTACAGTGGGTCCAATGAGTCACTGGACTCATCCTGTGGTCATTCACCCAGTGCCAGAATTCATAATTGGCATAGACATACTTAACAGCTGGCAGAACCCCCACATTGGCTCCCTGACTGGTAGGGTGAGGACTAATTATGGTGGGAGAGGCCAAATGGAAGCCATTAGAGCTGCCTCTACCTAGAAAATTGTAAATTAAAAACAATATCACATCCCTGGAGGGATTGCAGAGATTAGTGCCACCATTAAGGACTTGAAAGACACAGAGGTGGTGATTCCCACTACATCCCTGTTAAATTCTCCCATTTGGCCTGTACAGAAGACAGATGGATCTTGGAGAATGACAGTGGATTACTGTAATCTTAACCAAGTGGTGACTCCAATTGCAGCTACTGTACCAGATGTGGTTTGATTGCTTGAGCAAAATGACACATCACCTGGTACCTGGTATGCAACCATTGACTGCACAAATGCCTTTTTCTCCATTCCTGTTTATAAGCCCCACCAGAAGCAATTTGCCTTCAGCTGGCAAGGACAGCAATATACCTTTACTGTCCTACCACAGGGGTATCTCTACTCTCCGTCTTTGTCATAATATTTTTGGAGAGCCCTTAGTCCCTTTTTGCTTCCAGAAGATATCACACTGGTCCATTACATTGATGACATTATGCTGATTGGATCCAGGGAGCAAGAAGTAGTAAACACATTGGAGACACTTGCATGCCAGAGGATGGGAAATAAATCTGACTAAAATTGAGGGATAATCTACCTCAGTAAAATTTCTAGGGGTTCTGTGGTTTGGGGCCTGTTGAGATATTCTAAAGTAGAGAATAAATTGCTGTATTTGACCCTCCTACAACCAAGAAAGAGGCACAATGCCTAGTAGGGTTATTTGGATTTTGGAGGCAATACATTCCTCATTTGGGTGTGTTACTCCAGACCATTTACTCAGTGACCCCCAAAGGCTGCCAGTTTTGGGTGGGGTCCAGAACAGAAGAAGGCTCTGCAACAGGTCCAGGCTGCTGTGCAAGTTGTCTGCCACTTGGCACATATGACCTAGCAGATCCAATGGTGCTTGAGGTTTCAGTGTCAGATAGGGATGCTGTTTGGAGCCCTTGGCAGGCTCCCATAGGGGAATCACAGCAAAGGCCTCTAAGATTTTGGAGCAAGAACCTGTCATCTTCTGCAGATAACTACTCTCCTTTTAAGAGACAGCTCTTGACCTGTTACTGGGCTTTGGTGGAAACTGAATGTTTGACTATGGGTCATCAAGTCACTATGCAACCTGTACTGCCTATCATGAACTGGGTGCTTTCTGACCCATCTAGCCATAAAGTGGGTCATGCACAGCACCATTCCATCATCAAATGGAAGTTGTATATACATGATTGGGCACGCTTGAGCAGTCCTGGAGGCACAAGTAAATTACATGAGGAAGTAGCTTAAATGCCCATGGTCTTTTCACCCCAGCCACCCTGCCTTCTCTCCCCCAGCCTGCACCAATGGCCTCATGTGGAGTTCCCTATGATCAGTTGACCGAGGAAGAGAAGAGAAGACTAGGGCCTGGTTCAGACAGCTCTGCACGATATGCAGGCACCACCCAAAAGTGGACAGCTGCAGCACAACAGCCCATTTCTAGGACATCCCTGAAGGACCGTGGTGAAGGGAAATCTTCCCAGTGGGCAGAACTTTGAGCAGTGCACCTGGTTGTGCACTTTGCATGGAAGGAGAAATGGCCAGATATGCGATTATATACTGATTCATGAGGTGTAGCCAATGGTTTGGCTGGATGGTCAGGGACTTGCAAAAAGTATGATTGGAAAATTGGTGACAAAGAAATTTAGGAAAGGAGTTTGTGTATGGACCTCTCTCAGTGGTCAAAAACTGTGAAGATATTTGTATCCCATGTGAATGCTCACCAACAGGTGACCTCAGTGGAGGAGGAGTTTAATAATCAAGTGGATAGGATGACCCATTCTCTGGACACCACTCAGCCTCTTTCTCCAGCCACCGCTGTCATTGCCCAATGAGCCAATGAACAAAGAGGCCATGGTGGCAGGGATGGAGGTTATGCATGGGCTCAGCAACATGAACTTCCACTCACCAGGGCTGACCTTGCTATGGCCACTGCTGGGTGCTCAGTTTTCCAGCAGCAGAGATCAACACCAAGCCCTTGATATAGCACCATTCCTTTGGGTAATCAGCCAGCTACCTGGTGGCAGATTAATTATATTGGACCTCTTCCATCATGGAAAGAACAAAGGTTTGCCCCCACAGGAATAGACACTTACTCCAGATATGGGTTTGCCTATCCTGCATGCAATGCTTCTGCCAAGATTACCATCCATGGACTCACGGAATGCCTTATCCACCATCACGGTATTCCACACAGCATTGCCTCTGATGAAAGCACTCTATGGCTAAAGAAGTGCAGCAGTGAGCTCAGGCTTATGGAATTCACTGGTCTTACCATGTTCCCCATCATCCTGAAGCAGCTGGATTGATAGAACGGTGGAATGGTCTTTTGAAGTCACAATTACAACACCAACTAGGTGACAATGCTCTGCCAGGCTGGGGCAAAGTTCTCCAGAAGGCCATGTATGCTCTGAATCACCATCCAATATATGGTACTGTTTCTCTCGTAGCCAGGATTCATGGGTCCAGGAATCAAGGGGTGGAAGTGGAAGTGGCACCACTCACCATCACCACTAGTGAGCCACTAGCAAAATTTTTGCTTCCTGTTCCTGCAACATTACGTTCTGCTGGTCTAGAGGTCTTAGTTCCAAAGGGAGGAACGTTGCCACCAGGAGACACAACAACAATTCCATTGAACTGAAAGTTAAGTTCGGCACCTGGACACTTTGGGCTCTTCCTACCTTTAAGTTAACAGGTTAAGAAGGGAGTTACAGTGTTGGCTGGGGTGATTGATGCAGACTATCAAGATGAAATCAGTCTACTACTCCACAATAGAGGTAAGGAAGAGTATGCATGGAATACAGGAGATCCATTAGGGCGTCTTTTAGTATTACCATGCCCTGTGATTAAGGTCAATGGGAAACTATGACAGCTCAATCCAGGCAGGATTACAAATGATCCAGACCCTTCAGGAATGAAGGTTTAGGTCACCCCACCAGGAAAAAAACCACAACCTGCTGAGGTGCTTGCTGAAGGCAACAGGAATACGGAATGGGTAGTAGAAGAAGGTAGTCATCGTTACCAGCTACAATTATGTACCGGCTGCAGAAACGAGGACTGTGTCATGAGTATTTCCTCCTTCTTTTGTTAAAAACATGTTTCTGCATGTATACACTTGTAATAAGAAAATATTTTGATTTTTTTCCTTTTCCTTTATCATGTAACATAAGATTTATTGACTCCATATCAGCATTTAAGTATTGTTAACTTTATGTAATAGTATTTGGGTTGGGAATTGGTGCCATTTTAGTTGTACGAAGGATAGCTGTATTATGTTAAGTGTAATTATGACCTCACTATTTTCTTTATTTGAAGATTATGTATGATCTCAGGACATGTCTATGGGGTCAAGTTGACAAGGGTGGACTTATGATGGTTAATACTGAGTGTCAACTTGATTGGATTGAGGAATATACAGTATTAATTCTGGGTGTGTCTGTGTGGGTGTTGCCCAAAAGTGATTAATATTTGAGTCAGTAGGCTGGGGAAGGCAGATCTACCCTTAATCTGGTGTGCAGAATCTAATCATCTGCCAGTGAATATAAAGCAGGCAGAAAAATGTGAAAGGCATGACTGGCCTAGCCTCCCAGCCTACATTTTCTCCCTTGCTGGATGCTCCCCGCTCTTGAATATTGGACTCCAATTTCTTCAGTTTTGGGACTTGGACTGGCTCTCCTTGCTCCTCAGCTTGCAGACAGCCTATTGTGGGACCTTGTGATTGTGTAAGTTAATACTCAATAAACTCTCCTATTAGTTCTGTCCCTCTCAGAGAACTCCTAGAAGTACAGAGTAGAATAGTGATTACTAGAAACTGGTGAATCAGGAGAGGAGTGGGAATGGAGAGAATTTGTTCAACTGGTACAAAGATAATGCTAGATAAGAGGAATAATTTCTGGTGTTATATTGTGCAGTAGGGTGACTACAGTTAATAATAATGTACTATATATTTCAAAGTAGCTGGAAGAGAGAATCTTGAAATGTTATCATAACATTGAAATAAGCTAATCACCATGATATGATTATTATATAATATATACATGTATTGAAACATCACACTGCACCCCATAAACTTGTACTATTATATCAGTTATAATAATTTAAAAACTCATATTAAAAATCTTATAGATCTAGTTCTAAAAAAGCTGAAATGTAATATGCAATGTTCCTTATTTTTAAAAGACAAATGGTTACAATGTTTCTGTTTAGAATAAAAGTAGATCTGTACCTTAATATGACATTGCACAGGAGGTTTCAGATACATAGTAAGTAGATATTTTGGGATGGTGCATATTCAAAGTAAATGAAACTGCATAAAGAATGGTGCCTGGAATGAATTATCCTCCACTTGACACTTTCTTCTTCATTTCTCAATTTAAAACAACTGAGCGGCCATAGGTAAGAGCTCTGAAGAAAACACCGACTCAACTTGAATGCAGGTCCTACTATTACTACCTGTGAAACTTGGAAAGTAATTTACCCATTTCAAACATCACTTTCCTCACTTGTAAACTGAAGGCAATTACAGACCTGCATCCTAGGGTTATTATTAGAATTAAATGATTTAATACATGGGTCTTTACACTATTATTTATATCTATGTTCTTTTTGTTCCTTTTTTAACATATGATCCATTAGCAACTTCAAAAATTATAGTAGAAGATTGATGGTATGAAGACATACCTCATTTTATTGGACTTCACTTTATTGTGCTTCTCAGGCATTTCCTTTTTAACAAGTTGTGGCAACCCCACATTAAGCAATTATTTCATCACTATATTTCTTATAGCATGTGCTCACTTTGTGCCTCTGTGTCACATTTTGGTAATTCTTGCAATACTGCAAATGGTTTCATTATTATTACATCTGTTATGGTGATCTGTGATCAGTGATCTTTGATGTCCTCTGTAATTGATTTGGAGCACCACAAACCATGCCCATGTAAAATGGTGAACTTAATAAACGTGTGTGTTCTCACTGGTCTACTGCTTGGCTATTTCTTAATCTCTCTCCCTCTCCTTGGGTCTCCCTATTCCCTGAGGCACAACAGTATTAATACCAGGCCAATTAATGACCCAACAATGGCTTGTAAGCATTTAAGTGAAAGGAAGAATCACACGTCTCTAGCTTTAAATCAAAAGCTAGAAATGGGCCAGGTGCCTTAGCTCACACATTTAATTACAACACTTTGGGAGGCCTAGGCGAGAGGATCATTTGAGCCTAGGAGTTTGAGACCAGCCTGGGAAATATAGCAAAACCTCATCTCTACAAAAAAATTAAAAAATTAGCTGAGCATACGGGTTCATGCCTGTAGTCCCAGCTGCTAGGGAGGATGAAATAGGAGGATCACTTGGGCCCAGGGGGTCGAGGCTGCAGTGAGCCATGAGTGTGCCACTGCACTCCAACCTGGGTTACACATCAAGACTCTGTGTGTTAAAAAAAGAGGAGAGAAATGATTAAGCTTAGTGAAGCTTGTGGAAAACCTCTAAGATAGGCAAAAATCTAGGCCTCTTATGCCAAACAGTTATCCAGATCTTGAATGCAAAGAAAACGTTTTTGAGGAAAGTTAAAAATGCTACATCAGTGAACGTATAGATGATAAGAAAGCAAAACAGGCTTTTGCTGATGTGAAGAAAGTTTGTGTGGTCTGGCTAGATCAAATCAGCCACAACATTCCCTTAAGCCAAAGCCTAAACCAGAGCAAAGCCCTACCTCTCTTCAATTCTATGAAGGCTGAGAGAGGTAAGACGCTGCAGAAGAAAAGATGGAAGCTAGCCAAAGTCAGTTCATGAGGACTTAAGGAAAGAAGCTGTCTCCACAATATAAAACAGCGAGGTGAAGCAGCAAGTGCTGATTTAGAATGCAGCTAAGATAATTGAGGAAGTTGTTTGGTTACATTAAACAACAGATTTTCAATGTAGATGAAACAGTCTCATAGGGGAAAAACATGCTGTCTAGAACTTTGTAGCTGGAGAGAAGTCAATGCCAGGCTTCAAAACGTCAAAAGACAGGCTGACTCTTTTGTTAGAGTCTAATGCAGTTGATGACTTCAGTTGAAACCAATGCTCATTTACCATTCTGAAAATCTTAAGGACCTTAAAAAATATGCTAAATCTACTCTGCCTGTGCTATGCAAATGGCACAAAACTTGGACGACAGACTGCACGTTTGTTTATAGCACGGTTTACTGAATATTTTAAGCCCGCTATTGAAACCTACTGTTCAGAAAAAGAAGATTTCTTTCAATATATTACTGTTCATTGACAAAGCATCTGGTCACCCAAGAGCCGTGATGGAGATGTACAGGAGATTCATGTTGTTTTCATGACTGCTAACATAGCATCCATTCTGCAGCCCATGGATCAAGGAGCAATTTCGATGTTCAAGTCTCTTTTTCTAAGGAATACATTTTGTAAGGCTATAGCGGCCACAGATAGTGATTCATCTGATGGATCAAAAAGCCCATTGAACACCTTCAGGAAAGGATTCACCATTCTAGTTGCCATTAAGAACATTTGTGACTTACAAGAGGAGGTCAACATCAATAGGAGTTTGTAAAAAGTTGATTCCAGCCCTCAGGGATGACTGAGGTATTCAAAAGACTTCATTGGAAGATGTAACTGCAGATGTAGTGAAGCTGCCTAGCTGTCTGGAGTAAATACTGAGGTTCTTGCTCTCACGGCCAAGGAAATTGAGGGTCGTGGACACACACACACACACACACACACACACACACACACACACACACACACACACAGAGAGAGAGAGGGAGATTGGAGCAGGAGTTTAATAGGCATAAGAAAAGAACCGCTCTCTGTCATAGAGAGGGGTCTGAAGTGGGTTACCAAGTTGTAGTAAAAATATCAGGGATTTTATAAGTGGACTAGTGAGGAGGGGGTGTCTTATCTTCCTAAGGCCCAAAGATTTAGTTGGGACCAGGTGTGCTATCTTTTTAGAGCAGAGTTTTCTATCAGCTCTCACCCTGTTCCTTGATCATGTAGGCAGACTCAGTCTGTCCTGCTCTGTGCTGTTTTTTGTTTGTTTGTATTTTGTTTTTTGCTTATCTGGGAGGGAGAGTTTCTGTGCCTGTTCCCAGACATCTTCTTACAGCTGCAGGCATCCCCCCTGTGTCTGCTTCTAGATTCCCTATCTTAGTGTGCCTGTGTCTGCTTCTAGATTCCCTATCTTAGTGGGCCTAAGGGGAAAGGAAAGTGCTTATTAAGGCGCACTGTTTTTCCTGGGGCTCATTGTATAAGTGTGAAGTTTGGTGCTCACCCAGGAGACTCCCCACTCCTTCCGTGCCTGAGTTGTTTATCTGTGTTTTACAGCCTGATCTTCCAGGCTGTCTTTTTCTGGAAGAGAAGTGATTTCTTTGAACTGCATGAGGTTAGAAAGGGAGCTATTTATGCTTTTTGTTAGAAGGAAAGTTTTCTGCAGGGGACTCTTTTCACTTGAACTGTCTACCCAAATAATTTCTTTCTATCTTCTACAACTTATTTCTCCTCTCAGGAATGGAATACCTAATGGCTGTTAGGGGGAATTGGGCGATGACTTCTTCAGGCTACTTTCTGCTGGAGGGAGGTGTTGTGTGGGGAACAGCAGCTAGGGCTCCTCCTGAGGTCGATCTCAGTGTCTCTGGTAGACGTAAATGGCATTTTCATTTTTGGCTCCATTTGCAGCACCATCTGAAGCTTGATGGCTTGTAAGTGAGAAGAGATAACCTTTACAAGGAGGTTTAGAATATAGGGTCCAAGGCTGGGCACGGTGCCTCACGCCTGTAATCCCAGCACTTTGGGAGCCGGAGGCAGGTGGATCGCGAGGTCAGAAGTTCAATACCACCCTGGCCAAGATGGTGAAACCCCATCTCTACTAAAAATACAAAAATTAGCAGAGTGTTGTGGTGGGTGCCTGTAATCCCAGCTACTTGGGAGGCTGAGGCAAATAACTGCTTGAACCCGGGAGGCAGAGGTTGCAGTGAGCCAAGATTGCACTACTGCACTCCAGCCTGGGCAACAGAGTGAGACTCCATCTCAAAAAAAAAAAAAAAAAGGAATATAAGGTCCAAATGTGAGTATTAAGACTACCATTATTAGCGGGGGCACTGTAGGCCATAACCATGACAACAGAGTTTATTTGATACCTGTGAACCATTTAGATGGTTTGTGTTGTTGTAAGTGGGTGTATGGGGCTTGGCTTTGTTCAGCTTCCTTGGTCTTACTTTCTCCAAAAAAACGAAACCTCTGGGTTATAGGTTATCTGGCAGGATTTGCAGGATAATTGCCCAGAACTAGAACATTGTTCAAGATTTTCTACATTACCCATCCCTTTTTGTTTTCCTTGAGACACAGCTGGAGATTTGTGGTTGGCTCACAGGAATAAGCATGGTTAGTTTAAAATGTAGGCAAAAACTTAAAAACAACTGAGACTAGAAGTTAATAGAAGATTTATGAAGTTTTAAAAGATAATTTTTCTCTTTAGTCCTCAATTTTGTTAAAAACAACTTATGATAGGACTGAGCTGTTTGCAAAATAAACTTTAGTCTTATACTTGTCCTGATTATTTGCATAAAGCACAGCAAGAGTGATCACCTTTACATAGGCCTTTTTTATTGGCTTTGATGGAACTCTGTTTCACAAGGAATCTCAGATGGGACTTTTTAAAGCCAAGCCCAGCCATGGGTTTGTACCTTCAAATACCTGTGAATTGGGTAAACTTCTTTTTTCTTGAGGTTCCAAGAGCGTGGGGTTCCTAGGCCTGTTAGTGACATTGTTTACTCACTGCAGGTTAGGAACCCTGTCTACACAGGGGCTGTGTAGACAAGGTGTGAGGCCAGTTCCCCAAGGGGCTTTTATTGGCTTTGCAAGTCAAGCTTGACTCCTTAAAGGGAAATACACCCTTTCAGTCAAAGTCTTGGTAAAACAACCAGTTTTTCCAATTGTGTCCTGTTGCAAAACGAAATGGATTCTTATTGCACTGATGCAAACAACTATATTGTTATAAGTTGAGAATACTTGCAACCAGTTTCTGAATTCTAGAGGAACCAGGCAGAGCAAACAAATATGTTTCAAACCTTGTTTACAGGAGTATACCTTACTTAGTTGTTAAAGGCTGTAGTTAGCTCAAGACAGGTTTCCTTAAGGGTCAGCAATGTTCCAAGCATAAGTCAAAAAATTGCTTTAGTTTTCTATAGTTCAGTCCATTCCATTAACTCTCATTCTGCTTGATATTTGTAAACATTTCAGCTTTTTATGAGTCCTGTACATTTTTCTGTTATCAGAAACCTGCATTTAAGAGCACCTATTAAAATTCCACAGATGATTATAAACTATTTTTTATTTTGAACAAGATGAAAACAAGATAAAAATTGTCTGTAAATGACAAAATGTCCAGGGTGGTTACAATCAAGAGCATGATTGACAAATTTGATTATTACCATTGGCTTACAATAACCCAACATAACAACCTTAATTGTGATTAATAGCACATATTTTGACACTAGAACCTTAGACATCCCATACAGTTTTGGAACATATTTTAATATTATTCTCTAAGATATAACCTGGAGTGCATTAGACATCATTTTGGCAATTCCATGTACCTAAACATGTTAAATAATCCTGTTTACCTCTCTTCCGGATGCTCCAGGGGCCCTCTGTAGCACCCAAAAGCTAGGGATCAGGAAAGACAACCTTGAGACTAAAGTTTGATTTTGGGAACCTGTTAAAGATGTTCAAAATTTAAAACACTTGGTATTATGAAATAGAATTTTAGATTACCATTAGTTACTTATTTTTCCAAAACGATGAGTCAAAAATTTGAAAAAGCAAAAACCACTCATCAGCTTTTTCTATTACACGAAAAGCATGTTCAAGAGAGGAAGTTAGATTTTACCCTTGCATTAATTTGCTATTAATGTTAAACCTAATTTTTTAATGAAACCTTATAGACAATTCTATTCAATCTTAACCAGTTTGACCATAAGGTGAGATTTTTACATACCTGTTATAATTGATGAGTTTTGCTAAAGAGCAGATTAGCATTTTAAGAAAACCTTGTTGCGCTTTTATTTCAGAGTTTAATTTACAGAAAAAAATACCCTTCTGAATTTTGTTAATAGTTTCACACAGAGTTTCCTTTGCAAGATTAATTTTTACAATCTTTTCACAATTTGCTTAAACCTTCCACTTTAATTTAATTTAAGACAATTCTTTATTTCTAGGGAGAATGTACATGTCCATGCCTTCTTATAATCTTTAACTAAAAACATCTTTTACTGTTTTTTTTACTCACCTCGTATGCAAATCCATGTTCAGTAGTCTCAATTACATGTCATAGCTCTTAGCAATTTTTCACTTCAATGTAAAACCTGATACGTTGTTTTAATTATGTACTAGATACAGATAAAGTATGACTCCTTTCAGCATAGTTAGGGTCATGGTTACTTCCATATGTTCCTAGGCCTTGCCAATTGTGAAGCAGGTAAGTTGACAGTTTTTAAAGGCCAAAGAAGCAGTTACAACCTTAAAACATTTAGCAAACCTAGTATCTGACCTGTATAATTTAGACCACATATTTACACCTTTGAAGACGTTTGTATTTTACCAATAATTCCTAACACTGTTTTTATTTTTAAAGATTAAAGTTCCGTGAACTGAAAGGTACCACAGCTTTTACTTTTCTCTTAAAAATATTTGATTTAAGTGCTTATTTTTCTTAGGAAAATTAATTAGAGCTCTTTTTAAATAGACACTACACACATAACACATATGTAACCACACAGACAAACAGAAGAAGATCCAGTAGTTATAAGATTTTTCATTTGCTAATTTCCCAATTGGATTATTGGCCTGCTGGTGAGACCCTTTAAGAACAGGGCCAGGAAGACAGTTTCCAGGGCCTAATAACCAAGCATAGCCAGAAGACAAAGACAGATTTTGAGAGGTATTAATTCACCTCTAATTCCAGGAGTTCCATGAGGAAAATAGAGATTTTTTTTCCAAAATGGGATTTGTGGCAACTTTTCTGTTTTCCCTAGGAGTCCCTGGCCACCAGAAGTTATTTTAGGGTCTTTCATGCATGCACCAAGGGTGTCAAGACACAGTGAAAAAAAGTAATACAGTTGACTGAGAAAAAAACCTTTTCCAGGAAAACTAGATCTATGAAGAGAAAAACATAAAGCCTTTAAAATATACCCATAGCTTGGATATCCACTTTCAATTAAGCTGAGCGCTCTTTAAGAAAATCCTTTTTCATTAATTAAACCATTACAGAGAATGTAAACAGTGATTCTTACCATTTTTTTCCCCAATTTGCACCACTACCTGTTCACAGTCACATTTAGTTTCTTCAGTTTTCTCTGGGAGAAAGTGGCTGGGCTCAGGCAAGGGCAGTTTTTCAACTGGACTGCAGATCCCTTTAGCAGCAAAGCTTGATAATTGAGGAGGCAATTGTCTGTTAGCTAAAGCCTTTCCTTAAAGGCCAGCAGTCCTGCCATATTGTGTGGGGTGTAAACAGTTAAGTTATTCCGCATGGTTAACCTAGTGGCCTCTGGCACCAGCAAAACCACTACTACAACTGTGGTTTGCAGGAGGCAGGCTGACCATACTTTAGCCACAAAGCTAAGTTCCTTGGTTAAGTAGCCATTGGCTTTTGATCTGGACCTGAAGCCATAGTTAAAACTTCCAGGGCCATTTCCTTCCTTTTTGACAGATAGAGACTGAATGCTTTCCCAACAGGAAGACTGAGGGCTGGTATTTTAAGGAAAGCTTGCTTTAGCTGGTTAAAGGCTTTTTGAGCCTCAGATTCCCAAGTGGGGGAGGGGGTGAGTTTTAACCTTTTGAGTTTTTCTTATGAGATGGTATAAAGGGTGAGCCATTTCTCTGTACCCAGGTACTCATGGTCTGAAAAATTCAGTAATGCCCAATAATCCCCTTAACTGTTAAAGGAAATGGGCTTAATCTTCTCCTCACCTGGTACTCTACTTCCTTCTAATAAGACTAGACCTAGGTTCTTTACTGAAGTCTGACAGAGCTGAGCTTTAGATTTTGAAACCCTATATCCCCTTTTAGCTAAGAAATTGAAGAGGGTCTTAGTGCCTTCCTGAGACCTCCTTGGTCCCAACCAAACTAATATTGTTATTATTAGGTGCAGAGGACAGTGTCATTTACACACTGCAAAGTTTCAACTTGAGAGTGAGAAAAACTAGAAAGAATTTTAAAAAGGGCCTGTGTAAGCAACTTCCTCCCAATATAGGGGGCTTTCTGAGGAATGAACCTTTTCTTTACTGAATTGGGAGACAAGGAGGTGTGTTTTATTAAAACCTCTCTCAGTCTTCCTAAAAAGTCAGGGAGATTTTCATCTGGTTTCTGGTTCAACAAGGACAGTTTAGAATAATTAAGAGGTTTGGTCCTAGTCCTTTGGCCCTCTAATATGTACATTTAAAAGTGTTTCCTTTTCCATTCATCTATGGGGTCACAGGCCATCCAGTCAGGATTGTCAAGAAGTATAGCCTCTCTACCTATTGGGAGTGGTTTTTCCATTATTTCCTCACCTTCCTTATCTCGCCTTTTCCTTTTTGTTCTACTATAAAGATATATTATTCATCTCTGAACTTTTCTGCTGCTGGAAGAGCTGGCTGCTTTTCAGCTGCAGTGAGGGTTTGGCCTAGAAGCAACATAGCATCTCTGCATGTAAGATTAAACACTTGCGTTAAATTTTGGAAAGCCTGTATATATTTATCAGGGTCATCAGAGAACCTGCATATATCCTTCTTTATTTGTCTAAAGTCTTGAAATAAGCAGGGAACTGGTACCCTAGTGGTGCCCCTTCCATCTGGCATTTCTTGTAGGAGTAGTATTGAAACTTGGACAATGGGGAGCTTTGGAGATGGTGGAGCTGGAGGAGCTCATGGTGCAGTTGGAAGGGGCACCAGATGAGGGAAACTGGAAGCACTGGGGCACTTAGGAGTCACCTCCAATGGTTCCTCCAAAACTTGCTCTTCTGACTTAGGGGAACTACTCTCCACAGACCTGCCTGATTTGATTGCTAAGAGGGCTGAGTCGATTGTGCAATGCTTGATCTAATAGTTGGATAATATTAAAATTAAGGATCCTTTCCACAGGCTAGGTTTGTTCATTCCCAAGATGGTAAGAAGGCCATGGTAAGAAGATGTCGCCTTGTGCAAAAGAAAATGAGCAGCTTTTTCTTTAGAGTTTTTGGGTCAAAGGAGTTCAAAATGCACTCCAGAGGAGTGTGGGCCTAAGATGGCTTGCTACCCATCCTAGAAAAGAGACAAGATAAAAGGCATCCCTTAGTCTCCTTGTTCTTTTTAGTGTGACCCAGGGTGGAGGGGAAGACAGTGGGGGTGCCCCCACCGACGGTTCTCCCTCCTTGGTCCCTGGGTCCTAGCACCATAATTGCCACCCTGTGGTTGCAGGTATGACCCTCAAACATGGGACCAGAGGAAGAAGTCAATAGGGCTAGTCACAATTGCCTATGTGACCTTATTCCTCTGCCTGGTAATTGCCCTTTGACCTCCACGACTTGTATGAACTGCATGGCTCCTTGATGGATGAATCTCAGGAGAGATTATGTAACAGTTGCATTTGAGCAAGGCCCCTTAATGGAGGGAGTGTACTGGACTGAGCTTTATACTCTGCTGTTATAGACTGGACTAGAGAATTTATTCTTAGGTGGTGGTTCCAGTTAACTTTCAGACATAAAATCCCCTTTCTATTTAGATGCCATTCTAGTTGTAGACACAATAGGTGTCTTAGGAAAACATAAGGGTCAAATGGTGGCCTTCCTGCTAATGGAGAGAGTATTGAGACTAAAATTTGTCTTTAGAGGACATTTTTCTCCTCACTGCTGAAAGCAGAGTTCTCCTGTTCACAGATGGGGCATAAGGTTTGGTCTCTAGCAGAGGGACGTAAAAGGGAGAAGAATTGGAAAGCTAGAGAGAGGCTTTTGGCAAAGGGCAGACAAGGTTCTGCATGGAGCGGATTCCTATTCCACTAGGTGGAGGTGTAAGCCTTGAAATACCAGGCAGTAACTTTGCCTCCATATGCTCTCTAAACAAAGGATGGAGAGGGAAGTCTGACATTTGGCAAGCTGTCCCCACAGCATACCTCCTAGCAGGAGAAGGTTACTTCGCCTCACAGAGGGACTATCCAGTTTGACTGGGCAGTGCTGTCTCCTTACATGGAAAAAGAAATAGCCTACATGGAGAGACGGACATTCACTGGGGTAGGGAGTAACCTCCTACTCAACCCCAGGAAGTGTTATCATTAGGAGTTAAATAGTCTTTGAGATCTGGAACATGAAATCCCCCTGTCTGTAGAAAGTCACAAAAACAGCAATCCCTTGACCTGCATGCCTGGTTGCTAAGCCTGCCTAATTGAATTATTTCCCAGGGCTGTAAAAACTCTTGTAGCATTGCATACAGAGAGGGGATGGGAGACATGGTGACCATGGAAAGGAAAGGAGGAAAATAAAATTTGCAATAGGAAAGCTTGGAGATCCTATGTCTGACAACCAGTCGGGCATAGGGGGCTGGTTGGGGCTAGGGTCAGCCTAGGAGCCTGTGGACAACACCAGGGTGTAGCTCTGGTCAGAAATCCTCAGTTGCTCCAGGACCTATTCCAGCCCTGCACAACGGCAAAGTTCTCCATTAAAGGAAACTTGCTTGGACAGAGCCAACATTCCTAGCACCCCGAGGGTACTGGGGGATTGACTAAGTCCTCCCCAGCAAGCTTCACATCTGAGTCTTCAAGACCGGTGGCTAGCCCTCATGGCTCATTAATCAGCTGACAGATGCTTGGTTTTTAAAATAGTTCTTTGAGAGAATAAAAACTGAGTACAGGAAACCTTGGAAATGAAAGTAAAGAGTCTGCTCCTTTACGCACTTTTCTGATGAATTTGCCTTCTAATCCTAGGCGAGCCCCCAAAATGAAGCAGCTTTATTGTCTGGGGTAAATCTTCCAGGCTGCTCTTTGTTAGAAGAGAAGTGATTTCTTTGAACTGCATGAGGTTAGAAAGGGATTTCTGAGCTTCTTTTTGTTAGATGGAAAGTTTTCTGCCAGGGAATCTTTTTACACTGTCTATCCAAATAATTTCTTTCTATCTCCTATAACAGTAGAAAGAGCAAGAGAACTAGATTTAGAAGTGGAGCCTGAATATGTGACTGAATTGCTGCAATCTCATTTTAAAACTTGAATGGCTAGGGAGTTCCTTCCTATGGATGACCAAAGACAGTGGTTTCTTGAGATGGAGTCTATCCCTGGTGAAGATGCTGTGAACATTGCTGAAATGACAATAAAGTATTTAGAATATTATATAAACTTAGTTGATAAAGCAGTGGTAGAGTTTGAGAGGATTGACTCCAATTTTTAAAGTTCTACTCTGGGTAAAATTCTATCAAACAGCATCACATACTACAGAGAAATATTTTGTGAAAGAAGTCAATTGATGTGGCAAACTCACTGTTGTCTTTTTTTTTTTTTTTTTTTTTTTTTGAGATGGCGTCTCACTCTGTGGCCCAGGCTGGAGTGCAGTGGCGTGATCTCGGCTCACTGCAAGCTCCGCCTCCCGGGTTCACACCATTCTCCTGCCTCAGCCTCCCAAGTAGCTGGGACTACAGGCGCCCGCACCTTGCCTGGCTAATTTTTTGTATTTTTAGTAGAAATGGGGTTTCACTGTGTTAGCCAGGATGGTCTCAATCTCCTGACCTCGTGAGCCACTGTTGTCTTATTTTAAGAAATTGTCACAGCCACTCAAGCCTTCAGCAGATCCCACCGTGATCAGTCAGAAGCCATCAACATATAGGACCAGCTGGTGGTGCCTCCACCAGCAAAAGTATTAGGACTTGCCAAAGGCTCAGATGATTGTTAGCAATTTTTAGGAATAATATATTTTTAGATTAAGATACATACATGGTTTTTTAGATATCATTTGATTGCAAACTGAGTAGGCTACAGTATAGTGTAAACATAACTTTTCTATGCACTGGGAAAGAAAAAAAATTGTGACTTGGTTTATTGTGATATTTACTTTTTTGTGGTGGCCTGAAACCCAACCCGTAATATCTCCAAACCCGTATTTCAGGCTCATATAATGTTAATGTTGCTGTGTGAATATCTGGTATCTAAAGGGTATCTAAAGCATATGACTTTCATGTCAGTATACACTTGCCAGCGAGCTCACGCTTAATTGAGTATGCCACAGGTTCCACCAGAAGTTCAAGAGAAATGAGTGAAGTGAAAGAGAGATGGAATGAGAGAGAGAGAGAGAGGAAAAAGTTTTATGATCTTTTAATATCATTTTAATATCAAGTTAGATGACTCTGATTGTCCTTGGAAATGCTCTTGCAGAAATGTGATTCATATTGGGGGCTCAACTTTTATTGAGGATTGAATTAAGTTTTGGTCATATAAACAACAATTTTGAATCTATTTTAATGACATTTTCTTCAATGGTCAATTTTTAATATTTTAATTTAATTTTCATTGTCACCATTTGGTATTATAAAGCTTATGCAATCAACTTGATGCAATTTTAGTGAGATCAGTTACTACTCATCACTGTTGCATAATTTGTAAATGTGAACTGGAAGTAAAAATTTTCACTCAACATTTCCAACTTTAGAAGTGCCGTTATTGTGGAGTGTTGTTATATTTATGTAAATTCTGTAATTATAACAAGGTGAACAGAGTTTTGCCTTATAGATAGACTATTACAGTATAGCAGAAAAAGTGGGAGCTTTGGAGTAGATAGATATGGGTTTGATCCTTGCTCAGCTACTAGCAGCGATTTTGGTTAAATCAGTTAAATCAGTTTTTCTGAGCCTCAGGATTTTTTTTTTTATTTTTCATTTGGATTAGTAATATATCTCTAAATGAGTTGTTGGAGGACTTCACTAAATATTGTATGTAAAACATCTATCAAGTTTTTGCATGCAAATAACTACTTTTGAAAAATTTGAATTTTTCACTTTGTCAGGCTACTCCCTTGAACTTCTCCACTGGTCACCATTTATACAGAATACAATGCAAATGGCACATCCTAGAATTATGCAATCTGTAGCCCTTGTTTGCATTTAAAAATATCTGTATCCGGCTGGGTGCGGTGGCTCACGCCTGTGATCCCAGCACTTTGGGAGGCTGAGATGGGTGAATCACGAGGTCAGGAGTTTGAGAGCAGCCCGGCCAACATGGTGAAACTCCATCTCTACAAAAAATTAGCTGGGCATAGTGGCAGCCACCTGTAATTTCAGCTACTTGGAGGGCTGAGGCAGGAGAATTGCTTGAACCCAGGAGGCGGAGGTTGTAGTGAGCCAAGACTGTGCCACTGCACTCCAGTTCGGGTGATGGAGTGAGTGAGACTCTGTAAAAGTTAAAAAATTATACATACACACACACACACACACACACACATATATATATATATATATAATTTTTTAACTTTTATTTTGGATTCAGCAGGGTATATATGCAGTTTTGTTGCAAAGGTATATTGGGTGATGCTGAGGTTTGGAGTGCGAATGAATCTGTCACTCAGGCAGTGAGCATAATACTCAATAGGTAGTTTTTCTTCTCTTGCCCTTCTCCCTCCTTGTCCCTCCTGTGTCCTCCAGTATTTGTTTTCCTCATCCTTATGTCCATGTGTAACCAATGTTTCGCTTCCACTTGTAAGTGAGAACATATGGTTAAAAAATCTATTTATTAAGGGATTTTTACATTCTAGGTAATAAAGAGGTAAATTTCAGGTTGGTTGTGTTCAAAACCATTCCAAATGGCACTACCTTTTGTATGTAATGAAGACGTCAATTGAAGGAAATAACCATCAATCGGTTCATGTATCCATCCACCCATCTACTCATGTATTCATTCATTTAACAGATATTTTTCAAGAGTTGACTGTGTACCAGGCACCATCATAGACACTTAAATCTGTATGAGTGGATGAAAATGAAATACAGATTTGAACTTGAGTAATTACACCCACCCTGAGGGATAAAATTATACAATTACTTTTTTAAAAATAAGCATTCTCTGGTAGTAGATATAAACTAAATAAGATATCTGGAAATCTTTATACTTCCTCTTCATTCAGGAGATCTGCCCAATATTCTTTCAGTTGTCACTATGAAATATTGGGCACTTTAGAAAATGAATAGTGAAACATAAATGGAAAGGAGCTGTTAATTATAAATACTCCTTTTATCATTACTTGCAGATTCTGGTGCTTTACCTGCCTCTGGCTTTGTTTCTCACCAAGACACACATACATCATTCTCAGGCCAGTCTTTCTCCTTAAGCTTTAAGAAATTTTTAGAGAAAAAGAAATGTTAGATTGAGATTCCTATTATTTTTCACTGATTGGCAATTCCAGGTAAATCAATGTTTTTGAATAAGGGACAAAATTAAATAGTGGTAAAGGTGTCAAGGGTGGATTATTTTCCCCCTGTCCCTGTTACAGAATGAAGCTATCATGAGTACAAGAAAAAAGGTAGGACGAAAAGTTAGTGTTGTAAACATTAAAGCTTTTCTGTGGTTTCAGTTATCTCAGAATTGTCATTAGGTTTAAGAGACATAAGGAACATTAGAAATCATTTAGTTTGCTCTCTTATTTTATAGATGAGGAAGAAAATTTAAGAAAATGAAATTACTTGTTTTTGGTAGCTCAAATAGCCATTGGAACTTAGTTTTTGAGACACAGCCCAGTGATCTTCGTGGCATATCAAGCTTATTCTTGATTTTCTCTTGTTAATTATTTTATTCACCTCCATGACTTTAAAGGATATCTGGAACAAGTCTTTCTTTGCAAATCACATTAAATTATTATGTTGGTATTTTTAGCTTTAATTTCTGCATTTGTGTATTTCTCAATCTTCCTTATAATTTACCACCTTTTACCATTACTGCAATACTTGTTTTTTTCTTCCTCATTTGTTACTTTATTTCTCAGCAGATTTCTTTATTTTTTTCATTTCTCATCAGAAATATCATTTACTATGACTACATACTAAAACATGAAAATAATTAAATTTACTCCAAGCATACTAACTTTCATTTTAATCTGTCTCTATGCATCAAGCAGGGTACCATATTCCTTTTGATAGTGGATATTGTACAAGGACTGAGAGAACGAAAATCTTAGTCTAGATATCTGCCGTGTATTAAACTTTTGGGAGAGAAGCATATATTGTACTTGTGAGCATATTATTAGTAATGTAATATGGTAATAGAAGTATCTCATTGGGGGAGTCATTCACTTAAACAATTTCATTTTCACAGATGACCATTAATCTGAAAGTACAAGTTGAAGGTAAAATAAGGAAAAGTACTCAAAATTGATTTTTCAAGTAACAATTCTAAGAAACCTATTAAGTTAATCCCCATGCAGTATTGTTTTTAACCATTAATATTTTTGAACTTGTCTCTCATTTCCCGAGAGGAACAAAATGATCTGAATATGTTTACTTCAGCAGAAGTTGGAAAAAGCAACAAAAAAAGAAAGTTCAAAAGAAAAATGACCTTTGATTTTGAGACCTGGGACTTCGTTTCAGCTTTGAGTCTCTAAACATATGTTCTGAAGTCTGCTTCCATTTGGGTTTGAGAGGATTCTGCCTATACCTAGATTTCAAGTCATTCACCTTCAATTCCTGAATTGCAATTAGATAGAGTATAAGCCTTTTTTCTTGCCCCCACTTTCCCTTCTTGCTTTTTAGGACAGCAATCTGAAAAGGTTGAGTGAATAGGTTACCATTTTCTGCATCTCTAGTAGTCTGACTGATAAAGCTATTAAATAAAGGCAAACTGTAATTCTCTCTTATCTACATGCCTCATTTATGCTCTTTGCCCTGGAGAAGAGCTGCATTAAAGATCAGAGTGTTGTTGAAAACTCCTGAAAAATAATAAATTGCTTGATCACTCAAACAATGACACGATTCCTTGGGAAAACAGATTTTACTGTGTATGTGCGGATGGGGAGGGGTATTCATCCTGAAGGATTGAAGTGGTGTGATGAGGGTGGAAAAATTATACATAAAGGACTGCTGGAGAAACATAAAGAGAAGCTGGAACATCTATATGATAAATACACTTATAATTAGTGAGATCATTAGCACAAACAGAGTATACTTTGGTATCCGTAAAGAAGTCTTTAAGCTAGGCAGTTAGCTTCACTATGAAGGGGGAAAAAAAAATGAGCTATATACAGCTGAATAGGCTTTTCAGTCTCCAAGGAGGTGACTTGTCTGTTGATGGCCAGTGGGGGTGGAAGAGTGAAATAATTACTTAACAGCATGTAAACAAAGTGAGATGTGAAGTATGCTTCCCTGCTCCCCTCCCTTTTCATTGAGAGAGTTTCTTGTTGTGATGGCTCCAGTGGGAGAGGCAGCAGAGAAATTTGATTAAATGGATGCCTGGGGTCATGACCCTGTCTAAACATGGTTCAGCTCTCAGCATCAATCAAATAAATTTTTTTTTTCTTACTTAAGAAAAATCTGATCTTGCTGTATATGAGTACCAGTGAGCTTTGGATTTGGTGGTGGTTCAGTAGGGGTTGTGTAAGTCTGTGTTAGCATTCTGTTTACAGAAAAATAACTGAAGAAGAGGCAGTCTTCTGGGACAACAGAAACCTATAGCTTTATTTTAGATCATGTTATGGGACTTTCATTTGACGATAGCCTATCAACAGCCTGTGGGATTTGGAGTTCCATTAGAATTTACTAGGACTCATTTATTGCAAACCATTGCGGACATTGATCTGAGTGTTTGGAAGATATTTATAGTGTTGTTGATGTGGGATTCCTGTGTTCAGGAACTCTCTTAGGATAGTTTTATTTGGGGCTAGTGTTTGAAAGCAGCTTGGAAGTGATTTTTCTTTGAAAATGGAGAAAACTGTGTTTGTTGAGATAACTAGAATAGTGGTCACTGGTGACGCCAATAAGAGCAACAAAATTGGAACTTTTCTAAGCACACAAGTGCCATTGTATTAAAGAGAATATTTGCTTTGGATGACAGACTTGTCATTAATTCTTGTTTTAAGAAAGAGGACAATTTTAATACAATTAAATAGTTGTTTCCTTCATAGGAATTGACACAGAAGAGTGTACAACCTATTTTAGATCATCAAAATCTTATTTTTTCCAAATAAGAAAGCTTTTGTATGAGAATGTGGATGGCTTACATCAAAAATCTTGATTAACTTAGAATCATAAGGCAAGGAGGTTCCAGCTAATTGAAATTAATCATGTTTGTGTTGTTAATCCTTGTTGAAAATAATTTTAATAAATATTATCCCATTTTATTGCCTGCCTTAGCATTGTACAGTAAATATGAATTCAACTTTAGTTGGATGATTGAAATCTTACTGCCTCAGAATCAGCTTTCTACTCATCAATTTTAATTAGACAACAAGATGGATAAAATTATAGAAGGTGCAAGAGCTTGGTCTTACTGTCTTAGAATGTGCTTGGAAGTCAGTGATGTGTTATGAAATAATAATAATTTTAAAAACAACACCTCTAAGTAATTTTAAAATACTTTTTCTTAATGGTAGTATATAATTAAATGGTGTTAATTGACTGCATTATATAATTAAATTCTGGATAATCAAGGTACGTAATTTGGGTCTTTGGATAGCAGTTGATTGAAGATATGTTTGCATGTTTTTGTGAAGTAAGCATACTTCTTACAATACTTTTAGACAGTAATATATAGGAGCTTAAGAAATACTAAAATGAAAAGTATTTTCCCATGAGGTGGATAATTTAGACTGTTCTGGCCATGACCATGTGGATTTTGTCCTGAGTTCCTAATTTGAACAACTACAAAGAACATGATTTCAAATATACAGAGTTCATTTGAACCAAGTATACTATTTACACATGAAATTTTACTTTAAGAAAACCACAGTTTCATTGTTATTTGGGGAAAATGGGAAAGAAGGAGTATATTTTTCACTAGAGAATTATGATTCAAACCAGTTGGACTGTAAAGTATAAAACACCAGCCTTGTATTTGAACTTGGAAAGTTACTTTCAAAGCCTACCCACTCACCATGGAGTTTGCACATGTCAAATCAAACCGTTTTTGCTATTATTATAGCAAAACATCATTGGATGAAAGGTTTATCAAGTTACTCCTGTTGAGATATTTACAAGAGTCGAGGCTGTCGGCGTCAGTAAATGCAGGTTCCCATTGACACAAACTAACCCAATGTGGTTAGTTATACTGCTTCATGACACCTGGGCTTTAAAATAACAGCAGGGTCACTTGGATAACATTTCAGACAAGGGCTCATTTCTGAAATTTTGCTGCTACCTCGAGCTTTAGAATATTAAATACACTAAATTAGAATGTAAATCCTGGAAGATAAAACAAACAAACAAACAAACAAACAAAAAAACAGAAGTAAGCCTGTCTGAAGTCTAATTGTCACTTACTGGTGCCTGTCCTCCAGGCTGACATTGCTATTAGATAGGGCTTTTTATAGGAAGGCTTTTACAAAAGGGGAAAATGGCAGAAAAATGTGCATATCATATCAGGGAATTATAGAAATTCTCAACACTTCTATTGATTGATATTTTACTGTCAGATATATACTTTTAAGCATAATTTCAAAAATTATAGATTAATATTAAAAATACACTATACAAGTGTCAACTCTTTCAACTTGCAGTGTATGTGATGGGTTTGATATGGGGAGGAAGATTAGAGACGTGACCCAATTCTAGGATGTTACCCTTCAGCAACCTGCTCATGCTAGTGATGATACATGTACAGAGTGAGTATATCAAGACACTGGGAGGTTCTGAGCCATTGGAAAAAAATAAAAGTTGAATTATATTTCCTATCTGCGTTTATAAGACTCAGTTTGAAAAGATTTTTCACCGACATGGAGTTTTCTGAGTTTTCTCTTTAATACTTGGTTAACCTGAAAATTAAGCTAAGCAAAAGCTCAGATTTGCCTGAACAGTATAGTGACTGAGGTTTCATTACGTATTGAAGATAGTGCTTTAAATTTATGGTTATATAGTCACTAAGCTTGGAATCCAGAAAACATTGTATGTGGTAGGTAAAATTTTTATGGCATGTTGATATATGTCCCTTAGTGGTCGGAGCTATTTATTTCTCACTTTATTTTGTAACAAACAAAATACTTTAATTTTAAAATGCCTTGATTCTTCAATAACAGTGTTGCCCAGTTAATAAATACTACTTTCCAGGATACTAAATTGTATCTAAGAATCATAATTGTGGCCTCCGACTACCAGGTATTGGTTCTATTTTTGTATGAGTAGTCTAATAGTGCATATCAAAAAGTACTTTAATCCCTAAAGAGTAAAATGAGGCAGATTCTGACTGCAGTCCGGTCTTTACCATTGAACTCAACTTCTTAATGAAAGTTAGTCAATCTGCAAATTAATGATTATAGTATTTCTTCAATTTTTATTTTTGTATGTGTGTATTCAGATAACATATTAAAACCTTTTTGAGTTCTTTAGAGAAATATTATAAACGTAACACTAACATCTCTAAAGCACAGGGACCTGAAAAAAATGTACTGATAGCATCAGAGAATTAGTTATGATAGTAAAAATTATACCAAATTGAATACTTTTTTAAAAAGACAGATTTAAATTCTGAATATTTCTTTGTCTTTTGTGTTTGCTTTGGAGTAGAAGGCTAAAATTCCATAATTCAAGTTAGAGAATTCCAGTGCAATATATTATAACAAGTTTGTTTCATCTCACCAAATGTATAAGATCATAACAGAGGAATAAAATACATTGAGGATAATAAAAGTATGTGTGTATTTGTGCATGTGTTATAGTCTGCTTAATGCTATCATTTTAATCAAGCTTTCAGTAATTTATGCTTATTAGTTTTTCACTGATCTGTTGCTGTGACTAACACTTTATAAATGGATAATATATTAACTCTTCTGCAAGGAAAATAAAACAACAGTATAGAGACAGTACCTTGTGATTTACTATATTCAAAATCTAGGGATAAACGACTGTATGATTTAATGCTGCTGGATGTAGACTTTTTATATTTTCTATTGTTCCTTCTTTAATTCTCTTGATTTCCAATTTTTGAAGTTTTTAGACTTAGCAATGACCATTAAATCTATTTTTTGAAACTTCAAATGAAATACAGCTTAAAAGATGAAGTAATTACATATTTAAAAATCATGCACACTTATGAAAAAGGTGAGCCTATTGTTTAATTTCAAAAGACTGTCATGAAAGCCTCCATTTTACTGCAAGAAAAATGCAAGAGAGGCTTGCTCCCTATCTCTGTGTGAATTCTCCAGTAAGTCTATGGGAAGGAGTGACCTTGCTGACCTTCTCACACTCTTAACAGTAGCAAGTGTGGTCATTTAGTTTGAACTGGAAACAAGGGGTTCAGAAAGACAGCTAGAAAGCTGACAACAAGAATTAGTAACTAGTGGACAAGTCCAAACATAGGCAAAAAGTGCCCTTGAAGACTTAAATCAAATAAACCTGACAATCCTTTATGTACTACTCTTTTCCCCATACTGATTAAAGAACAATAGATATTTGAGGGAAAGTAATGAGATAGGAGAATTTGTAAGATTAATTTGGTCAAAATGTTTGATCTTTCATAATTATTTTACAATTAAACTTGAATGATTATACTTATTAATTTTTTTTAATATACTTTAAGTTCTGGGATACATGTGCCAGAAAGTGTAGGTTTGTCACATAGCTATACACTTGCCATGGTGGTTTGCTGCAACCATCAACCCATCATCTAATTAGGTATTTCTCCTAATGCTATCCCTCTCCTAGTCCCCCACCACCCAGCAGGCCCCAGTGTGTGAGGTTCCCCTCCCTGTGTCCATGTGTTCTCATTGTTCAACTCCCATTTATGAGTGAGAACATACACTGTTTGGTTTTCTGTTCTTGTGTTAGTTTGCTGAGAATGATGGTTTCGAGTTTCATCCATGTCCCTTCAAAAGACATGAATTCATCCTTTTTATGGCTACATAGTATTCCATGGTGTATATGTGCCACATTTTCTTTATCCAGTCTATCATTGATGGGCATTTGGGTTGGTTCCAAGTCCTTGCTATTGTGAACAGTGCCACAATAAACATAAGTGTTTATGTGTCTTTATAGTAGAATAATTTATAATCCATTGGGTCTACACCCAGTAATGGGATTGCTGGGTCAAAAGGTATTATTTCTAGGTTTAGATCCTTGAGGAATTGCCACACTGTCTTCCATGATGGTTGAACTAATTTACACTTCCACTAACAGTGTAAAAGCATTCCTATTTCTCCACATCCTCTCCAGCATCTGTTGTTTCCTTACTTTTTAATGATCACCATTCTAACTGATGTGAGATGGTATCTCATTGTGTTTTGATTTGCATTTCTCTAATGACCACAGATGATGAGCCTTTTTTCATATGTTTGCTGACTGCATAAATGTCTTCTTATGAGAAGTGTCTGTTCATATTCTTCACCCACTTTTTGATGGGGTTGTTTGTTTTTTTCTGGTAAATTTGTTTAAGTTCTTTGTAGAATCTGAATATTAGCCCTTTGTCAGACAGATTTATTGCAAACGTCTTCTCCCATTCTGTAGGTTGCCTGTTCACTCTGATGATAGTTTCTTTTGCTGTGCAGAAGCTCTTTAGTTTAGTTAGATCCCATTTCTCAATTTTGGCTTTTGTTGCCAATGCTTTTGGTGTTTTAGTCATGAAGTGTGTGCCCATGCCTATGTCCTGAATGGTATTGCCTAGCGTTTCTTCTAGGGTTTTTATGGTTTTAGGTCTTACCTTTAAGTCTTTAATCCATCTTGATTTAATTTATGTATAAGGTATAAGGAAGGGGTCCAGTTTCAGTTTTCTGCATATGGCTAGCCAGTTTTCCCAACAACATTTATTAAATACAGAATCCTTTCCCCATTGCTTGTTTTGATCAGGTTTGTCAAAGATCAGATGGTTGTAGATGTGGGGCACTATTTCCGAGGCCTCTGTTCTGTTCCATTTTTCTACATATCTGTTTTGGTACCAGTACCATGCTGTTTTGGTTACTGTAGCCTTGTAGTAAAGTTTGAAGTCAGGTAGCATGATACCTCCAGCTTTGTTCTTTTTGCTTCTTGGCTACACATGCTCTTTTTTGGTTCCATATAAAATTTAAAGTATTTTTTTTTCTAATTCTATGAAGAAACTCAATGGTAGCTTGATGGGAATAACATTGAATCTATAAATTACTTCTAGCAGTATGGCCATTTTCACAATACTGATTCTTCCTATCCATAACATGAAATGTTTTTCCATGTATTTGTGTCCTTTCTTATTTCCTTGAGCAGTGGTTTGTAGTTCTCCTTGAATAGGTCCTTTACATCCCTTGGAAGTTGGATTCCTAGGTATTTTATTCTCTTTGTAGAAATTGTGAAAGGAACTTCACTCATAATTTGGCTCTCTGTCTGTTCTTGGTGTATAGGAATGCTTGTGATTTTTGCACATTGATTTTGTATCCTGAGACTTTGCTGAAGTTGCTTATCAGCTTAAGGAGATTTTGGGCTGAGATGATGGGGTTTTCTGAATATGCAATCATGTATTCTGCAAACAGAGACAATTTGACTTCCTCTCTTCCTATTTGAATACTTTTTATTGCTTTCCTTTGCCTGATTGCCCTGGCCAGAACTTCCAATACTATGTTGAATAAGAGTGGTGAGAGAGGGCATCCGTGTCTTGTGCTGGTTGTCATAGGGCATGCTTCCAGCTTTTGCCTATTCAGTATGATATTGGCTGTGGGTTTATCATGAACAGCTCTTATTATTTTGAGATACGTTCCATCAATACCTAGTTTATTGAGAGTTTTTAGCATGAAGGGCTGTTGAATTTTGTTGAAGGCTTTTTCTGCATCTATTGAGATAATCATGTGGTTTTTGTCATTGGTCCTGTTTATGTGATAGATTACGTTTATTGGTTTGCATATTTTGAACCAGCCTTGCTTCCCAGGTATGAAGCCAACTTGATCATGGTGGATAAGCTTTTTGATGTGCTGTTGGATTCGGTCTGCCAGTATTTTATTGAGGATTTCTGCATCTATTTTAATCAGGGCTATTGGCCTGAAATTTTCTTTTTGTGTGTGTCTCTGCCAGGTTTTGGTATCAGGATGATGCTGGCCTCATAAAATGATTTAGGGAGGATTCCCTCTTTTTCTATTGTTTGGAATAGTTTCAGAAAGAATGGTACCAGCTCCTCTTTGTACCTCTGGTAGAATTCAGCTGTGAGTCTGTCTGGTCCTGGGCTTCCAGAGGAAGGAAGAGGCAGCAATCTTTGCTGTTCTGCAGCCTCTGCTGGTGATACCCAGGCAAACAGGGTCTGGAGTGGACCTTCAGCAAACTCCAGCAGACCTGCAGCAGATGGGCCTGACTGTTAGAGGGAAAACTAACAAACAGAAAGGAAGAGCATATCCACTCAGAGACCCCATAGAAGGTCACCCACATCAAAGACCAAATGTAGATAAATCCATGAAGATGGGGAGAAACAAGTGCAGAAAGGCTTAAAATTCTAAAAACCAGAATGCCTCTTCTCCTCCAAAGGATCACAACTTTTCACCAGCAAGGGAACAAAACTGGATTGAGAATGAGTTTCACAAATAGACAGAAGTAGGCTTCAGAAGGTGGATAATAATAAACTCCTCTGAGCTAAAGGAGCATGTTCTAACCCAATGCAAGAAAGCTAAGAACCTTGAAAACAGGTTAGACCAATTGCTAACTAGAATAACCCATTTAGAGAAGAACATAAATGACCTGATAGAGCTGAAAAACACAGCATGAGAACTTTGTGAAGCATACACAAGTATCCATAGCTGAATCGATCAAGCAGAAGAAAGGATATCAGAGATTGAAGATCAACTTAATGAAATAAAGTGAGAAGACAAGATTAGAGAAAAAAGAATGAAAAAGAATGAACAAAGCCTCCAAGAAATATGGGAATATGTGAAAAGATCAAATCTATGTTTGATTGGTGTACCTGAAAGTGACAGGGAGAATGGAACCAAGTTGGAAAAGACTCTTCAGGATATTACCCAGGAGAACTTCTTCAACCTATCAAGACAGGCCAACATTCAAATTCAGGAAATACAGAGAATGCCACAAAGATACTCCTCGAGAAGAGCAACTCCAAGACACATAATTCTCAGATTCACCAAGGTTGAAATGAAGGATAAAATGTTAAGAGCAGCCAGTGAGAAAGGTTGGGTTACCCATAAAGGGAAGCCTATCAGAATAACAGCTGATCTCTCTGCAGAAACCTTACAAGCCAGAAGAGAGTGGGGGCCAATATTCAACATTCTTAGAGAAAATAATTTTCAACCCAGAATTTCATATCCACCCAAACTAAGCTTCATAAGTGAAGGAGAAATAAAATTCTTCACAGACAAGCAAACACCTTACAAGTCTGCCTTACAAGAGCTCCTGAAAGAAGCACTAAACATGGAAAGGAACAACTGGCAACAGCCAGTGCAAAAACATACCCAATTGTAAAGGCCATCGACACTATGGAAAAACTGGATTAACTAATAGGCAAAATAACCAGCTAGCATCATAATGACTTGATCAAATTCACACATAACAATATTAACTTTAAATGTAAATGGGCTAAATACCCTAATTAAAAGTCATAGACTGGCAAATTGGATAAAGAGTCAAGACCCATCAGTGTGCTGTATTCAGGAGACCCATCTCATGTGCAGAGACACACACAGGCTCAAAATAAAGGGATGTAGGATTATTTACCAAGTAAATGGAAATCAAAAAAAATCAGGGGTTGCAGACCTAGTCTCTGATAAAATAGACTTTAACTTTAAACCAACAAAGATCAAAAGAGACAAAGAAGGGCATTACATAATGGTTAAGGGATTAATGCAACAAGAACTATCTATCCTAAATATATATGCACCCAATACGGGAGCACTCAAATTCATAAAGCAAGTTCTTAGAGACCTACAAAGAGACTTAGGCTCCTACACAATAACAGACAGATACTTTAACATCCCACTGTAAGTATTAGACAGATCAACAAGACACAAAATTAGTAAGGATATTCAGGACTTGAACTCTGCTCTGGACCAAGTGGACCTAATAGACATCTACAGAACTCTCCACCCCAAATCAATAGAATATACATTCTTCTCAGCACCACATTACACTTATTCTAAAATTGACCACATAATTGGAAGTAAAACACTCTAGAGCAAATCTGAAGGAACAGAAAATCATAACAGTCTCTCAGACCACAGCACAATCAAATTAGAACTCAGGATTAAGAAGCTTACTCAAAACTGCACAACTACATGGAAACTGATTGAACAACCTGCTCCTGAAAGACTACTGGGTAAACAACAAAATTAAGGCATAAATGAAGATGTTCTTTGAAACCAATGAGAACAAAGACACAACATACCAGAATCTCTGGGACACATTTAAGGCAGTGTTTAGAGGGAAATTTATAGCATTAAATGCCCACAATTGAAAGCAGGAAAGATCGGAAATCAACACCCTAACATCAAAATTAAAAGAACTAGCGAAACAAGAGCAAACAAATTCAAAAGCTAGGAGAAGACAAGAAATAACTAAGATCAGAGCAGAACTGAAGGAGATAGAGACATGAAAAACCCTTCAAAAAATCAATGAATCCAGGAGCTGGTTTTTTGAAAAGGTCAACATAATAGATAGACCATTAGCCAGACTAATAAAGAAGAAAAGAGAAGAATCAAATAGATGCAATAAAAAGTGATAAAGGGGATATCACCACTGATCCCACAGAAATACAAACTACCATCAGAGAATACTGTAAACATCTCTATGCAAATAAACTAGAAAATCTAGAAGAAATGGATAAGTTCCTGGACATATACATCCTCCCAAGTCTAAACCAGGAAGAAGTCAAATCCCTGAATAGACCAATAACAAGTACTGAAATTGAGGCAGTAATTAATAGCCTACCAACCAAAAACAGTCCAGGACCAGACGGATTCACAGCTGAATTCTACCAGAGGTACAAAGAGGAGTTGGTACCCCGCCTTCTGAAACTATTCCAAACAATATGAATTTATACCTGCCACAATATAAAACAGGGAGTATCATTAAATCTGGTACTATCTCTTAAAGAGAAATGACAATACCTAGTGATCAAGAACTTATTCCTTATAGAATTGTTTCTCAAGAGATCAGAGCAAGGGACTTTACCATTCTATAGTTTTAAATCTTAAAGGTTCATTTAGTAAGTAAAGTAGATCTTACAGACTAAGATAAATTTTATGATTAAATCTTATAATCTTATGATATTTGATTTATCAGAATAATGATTTTAACAAACACATCCCTTACTATGTGGCGGGCACAAACTTGAGCACTTTAATATATTTTAAACACATTGAATAAAGACAACATCCATATGAAATAAGTACTATTATTATTCCTGTCTTACAGATAAGGAACCTGAGGCACAAGAAGGTCAAATGACTTGCTCAAGGTCACATAGCTAATAAGTGGTGGAGCTCAGAGTCTGTATGTATTTCCCAACTCTGGCTTCAAAGTCTATACTCTTAATCCCTGCACCACACTGCCTCTTAGGTTTGGTGCCTGTTTGCTAGGAAATCAGAAAATGGAAGGAAAAAGTCTGAAGATCTGCAATAGTTTTTAAAACTTCATGCTAAAAGATTCTTCAAAATGCTAATATGATGCATATCCACTATAAATTCAACCCTTCATGAGGCTAAGTGAAATTCTAGAAAATAATACATAAAATGGCCAGGTACCATAATATTAAAACTTTGTCACAGAGATTTCTTTATGTTAGACCAAGAACTTCTTGATTACATAAAGTGCCTTGATATACTTTGTACATTATCTTTATTGCTAACCTTTATGAAATATTTTTTAAAAAGCTTTTGAAATCTTTATATCTCCTCAGCACTTACACAATTAAGAAATATCAATAAAAACACTATTTTTACTTTTTACGTTTGGCTTGGCTGATTTTCCTAGGATACCTTGTACAGGCATACCTTGTTTTATTGTGCCTTACTTTATTGCACTTAGTTGATATTGTGTTTTTTTACAAATTAAAGGTTTGTGGCAACCCCGGATCAAACAAGTCTATCAGTGCCATTTTCCAACATCTTGTGTTCACTTTGGGTTTCTGTTTGACATTTTGGTAATTCTCACAAGTATGCAAACATTTTCATTATTATTATATCTGTTATGATGATCTATGGTCAGTGATCTTTGATGTTATCACTGTAATTATTTCGGAACACCACAAACCACAGCAGTGTAAATGGCAAACTTAATCGCTAAATGTCTGCGTGTTCTCATCGCTCCACTGATTGGTCTTTCCTCTATCTCTCCCCCTCTCCTTGGGCGTCCCTATTCCCTGAGACACAGCAGTATTAAAACTAGTCCAAGTAAACACCCAACAATGCCCTCTAAGTGTTCAAGTGAAAGGAAGAGTCACACATCTCTCACTTTAAACCAAAAGCTAGAAATGATTAAGCTTAGCGAGGAAGACATGTCAAAACCCTCTGAGATAGGCCAAAAGCCAGGCCTCTTACAAAAAACAGTTTGCCAGGTCATGAATGCAAAGGAAATGTTCTTGAGGGAAATTAAAAAGTGCTATGCCAGTGAACACACGGATAATAAAGTGAAACAGCCGTTTGCTGATGTGAAGAAAGTTTGAGTGGTCTGGCTAGAAGATCAGATCAGCCACAACATTTTCTTAAGCCAAAGCCTAATCCAGAGCAAGGCCCTACCGGTCTTCAATTCTGTGAATGCTGAGAGAGATAAGAAGCTTCAGAAGAAAAGTTGGAAGCTAGCTGAAGTTGGTTCATGAGATTTAAGGAAAGAAGCTGTCTCCACAGTATCAAAGTGTGAGGTGAAGCAGCAGGTGCTGATTTAGAATCTGGAGCAAGTTATCCAGAAGATCCAGCTAAGATAATTGAGGAAGTTGGTTACATTAAATAGCAGAATTTCAGTGTAGATGAAACAGTCTCATAGTGGGAAAACATACTGTCTAGAAGTGGGAAAACATACTGTCTAGAACTTTTGTAGCTGGAGAAAAGTCAATGCCAGCCTTCAAAACGTCGAAAGACAGGCTGACTCTCTTGTTAGAGTCTAATGCTGTTGGTGACTTTAGTTGAAACCAATGCTCATTTACCATTCTGAAAATCCTAAGGCCCTTAAAAAGTATGCTAAAACTACTCTGCCTGTGCTCTACAAATGGCACAAGAAAACTTAGATGACAGCATGTTTGTTTACAGCACGGCTTAATAAATATTTTAAGCCCACTATTGAAACCTACTGTTCAGGAAAAAAAAGGATTTCTTTCAATATATTACTGTTCATTGACAAAGCATCTGGTCACCCAAGAGCCGTGATTTGTTTTCATGCCTGCTAACATAGCATCCATTCTGCAGCCCATGGATCAAGGAACAATTTCGATGTTCAAGTCTCTTTTTCTAAGGAATACATTTTGTAAGGCTACAGCGGCCATAGATAGTGATTCATCTGATGGATCTGGAAAAAGCCCATTGAACACCTTCTGGAAAAGATTCACCATTCTAGTTGCCTTTAAGAACATTTGTGATTCACAAGAGGAGGTCAATATATCAACATCAACAGGAGTTTGGAAAACGTTGATTCCAGCCCTCGGGGATGACTGAGGTATTCAAGACGTCAGTGGAGGATGTAACTGCAGACATGGTAGAAAGAGCAAGAGAACTAGAATTAAAAGTGGAGCCTGAAGATGTGAATGAATTGCTGCAATCTCATGCTAAAACTTGAATGGCTGAGGAGTTGCTTCTTACGGATGAGCAAAGACAGTGGTTTCTTGAGATGGAATCTATCCCTGGTAAAGATGCTGTGATCATTGCCAAAATGACAACAAAGTATTTAGAATATTACATAAACGTAGTTGATAAAGCAGTGGTAGCATTTGAGAGGACTGAATCCAATTTTGAAATAAGTACTACTGTGAGTAAAATGCTATCAAACAGCATGACATACTACAGGGAAATATTTTGAGAAAGAAGTCAATTGATGTGGCAAACTCGCTGTTGTCTTATTTTAAGACAGTTTGCAGCCAGTCATGATGGCTCATGTCTGTATTCCAAGACCTTTGTAAGTCTGATGTAGGAGGATCTCTTGAGCCCAGGAGTTCAAGACCAGATGGCGTAACACAGGGAGACCCTGTCTCTACAAAAAAATAAAAAAAATTAGCTGAGTTATGTGGAGCACACCTATAGTCCCAGATACCCAGGAAGCTAAAGTGCAAGCCAGACTGCTTGAGCCTGGGAGTGATGCTGCAATGAGCAGTGATTATGCCACTGCACTCCAGCCTGGGTGTTAATAGAGTGAGACCCTGTCTCAAGAAAATAAAACTAAATTGGGCCAGGTACGGTGGCTCACTCCTGTAATCCCACTACTTTGGGAGGCTGAGGCAGACAGATCACTTGATGTAAAGAATTCGAGACCAGCTTGGCCAACATGACAAAACCCCATTTCTACTAAAAATACAAAAATTAGCCAGGCATGGTGGTGCACACCTGTAATCACAGGTACTGAGGAGGCTGAGGCATGAGAATCTTTTGAACCCGGGAATGAGACGAGATCACCCCACTGCACTCCAGCCTGGGTGATGGAGTGAGACTCTGTCTCAAGAAATATAAATAAATAAATTAATTAATTAATTAAAAAGAGATTGCCACAGCCATTCTAACCCTCAGCAGCCACCACCCTGACCAGTCAGCAGCCATCAACATGTAAACAAGACTGTCCACCGGCAAAAGGATTAGGACTTGCCAAAGGCTCAGATGATTCTTAGCATTTTAAAGCACAATAATTGTTTAAATTAAGATATATACATTGGCTTTTTAGACATCATACAGTTTCACACTTTAGTAGACTGCAGTATAGTGTAAACAGAACTTTTGCATGCACTGGGCAACCCATAAATTTGTGTGACTTGTTTTATTGTGATACTGGCTTTATTAGGATGGTCTTGAATTTAATCTATAATATCTCTAAGGTATGCCTGTACTACTGTTGAATTTGGGTAATGGCTTATTCTTTATCAACAAAAGTATATATCAATCAAGGATCCTTATTGAGTGGGAAAAGAGCCTGCTTCTGGTGGAGAGATGTTTAATTTACAAGTTATCGAAAGTGGTTGTGGGCAGAGCTGTTTGATGTCTTTTCTTATACTTCAGATATTAAGCTTATAATAACAGTTCTTGACAAGGAAATGGAGACTTAGCCCTATCGGTCACTGGTCTGAGTATGTTTATGACATCAATACCAATTTGCATCATCTGCCCAGAGCTGTGACTTAGAGTTTGAGAAATTACATGCATAGAGTCTTCTAATCATTTTCAATGGAAGAAATATTTACTTTTTAAAGGCAGCATTCTTCTGCAGTCATCTATTGTCTAGAGGAAAAGAGAGAATGTAGCCCAAGCAGTAAAGGTCAAGAATAACAGCTAAAGTGATAATATCCTTGGCATTTTACCCATTAGGGTTTGAACTTAGAGACTTTAAGGGTAAGGTCTTTATTAAGGATTTGGCTGTAGACTGAGGGTGTATCCCAAGGATTAGCAATTAAAAATGTATATAAAATTATTTGTAAACTTGTATTTATTATATTGATGTCCTTAGAAGACATAATTTAAAAACATTTGCCATCTATTTCATAGAGGACACATAGTGGAAACTTGGATCCATATTTTAAAAAAATTTATCATTGGAGAGTGTAGAAGGATGATTACCAGAGGCTGGGAAGGGTAGTGGGGGGCTGGGGAGGAAGTGGGGATGGTTAATGGATACAAAAATATCATGAGAAATACTGAATAAGACCTACTACTTGATACACAACAGGGTAACTAAAGTCAATAATGACTTATTGTACATTTTTAAATAACTCAAAGGTGTAATTGGATTGTTTGTAACTCAAAGAATAAATTCTTGAGGGGATGGCCACCTCACTCTCCATGATGTGCTTATTTCACATTGCATGCCTGTATCAAAACATCTCATATATACCATAAATATATACCATTACTATGTACCCACATAAATTAAAAATAAAATTAAATAAATAAACAAATTCCATCATTGGAAGAACACTGGAAAGAAGCAGCAAACAGCAAGGTATTAATGATGTAGACTAAATTAAAAGGTACTTGGAAGTGCATATATATATATATATATATACACACACACACATTGAAATACGCATTATGCTGAAAATTGATATTGTTTTCAGTCCTCTTGTTAATATCCTCTACATTATTAATTTTTCCAGGTCTCTAGGCTTGAAACCTTATGTTTACTTTTTTGTTGTTTCTCTTAGCCAATATATCAACAAGAACTATCAACACTTATTCTGAAATGTGTTTTAGAGAAATCATACCTTTTAGTTTTATGTTCTTACTTTTCATTCTGACTTAGGCTCTCTTCACTTCCTATTGGGAACTTCTTTCACCAACTTCTACTCCCCTTTGCTTCTGTCCACAGTCACTTTTCCTTTCTAATCCTGCAGATAGATGCTTTTGCCTAAACACCGCTTTTATTATATTTTTTTCTGTTCTTATGTACTTGTGGTGACTTATTTGAATACTTCTGCAAGATCTTCAGGGTTCTGACAGTCTCCTTTCCCTTTGTCTCATTGCTCCTAGGGACCAAACATACATTTCACAACTTTCTCTCTGGTTAACTTCTTTTTACAGGATTATCTTTCTAAGCCCATTAATGTTCAACCACCTTCAATGAGTATTAAATTGTAAATACTTGTGTTTTCTTGTATTCTGGATTTCATGTTACTGATAACCTCCTTTAGAAACTCTAAAGTAGTTATGATTAGGAATTCCATAGTCTTACTTGAATGAGCAGTATTACAATTGTATTACTTTTCCTTTCATCTTAAAACATTAAGCCTTTCAAGTTATTTCCTGTTTTCCTATAAGATTTCTCTTTTTTTCCCCACAAAAGTGGTAATTCAAAGGCTTAATATATCTTTAATTAACTGAGCAGGGTTGCTAGGAAAAAATGTCCTTATCCAGATGAAGTTGATATGTCAGCTGTGGTTTCTTTATCCTTATGGACTCAGGAAATGGGAAGTATTTAGGTTTTGTCATGCCTTCTTTTTCATGGCCAATAAACCTTATTATAGTAGCTCCATGAGTTTAATATTTCACACATTAAATGATTAAAAGTAAGAATGCAAGACCTCTCCATCAATAGATTTCCTGACATGAATTAGATTGTGTTTTTAAATTCCTTGCAGGAAAAAAAATAGAAGGAAGAGGAAAGGAAGGAAAGATTGTAAAGAAAAGATGGAGGGAGAGAGGGAGAAAGTTATGAGGAAGGAATAAAGGAAAGAAGCAAAAATGAAAGAAAAGATCAATGAAGTACAGAAAAAGAAATGAAACATATTTTGAATCAAAATGTCCTTTCCTAGAGGCGAAAGCAATTCAGTATTATTCAAGTTTTATTTAGTATTATTCAATAAATTTATCAAATTTTTTAGTAAATATAACGGACCATGCAGCCTCAAGTCACACAGACTGCCTGACAAGGCAAGGCTGGATTTATGCATGTCTCCTGTTTACCCAAGAATGCAGACATTTCCCTTACAAAATGAGACGGCCTTATCTTTATTATTATAGGGCATTTTAGTTTACAGTTTTGCTCTGAGTAACATTTAGATGCTTTTTTCAAGATCCCTAAATAAAAGAACAGGGAAAAATACTGCTTATTGCTAGCAATCTACATTTTTTATATTGCATGATTAAAAGCAAGTATTGCTGACAGCAGAAAAATAATTGAAAATGATGATTGTGATTTATTTATGTAGAATCTGTTTGACTAACAGAAGGTAAATTGGGCTGATGAAAAAACCTTGTTTACATTTTTTAAATATAGGCCAGATTGTGATGACCTGGAAAATGAAGTACTGGCAACATCAAAGAAGACATTCCTCTTTCTTTTAATCTAATATTTGCCAAAATTGCCGTGATGGTAAAACATATTTACTTGAGTACTAGTACACAGTGCACAATAATTTGCCCAACCCCTAGTCAGGGCATAAATTCATCCTGTTACCATTTCTCGGACTCTGCAGGCTGAAAGACAGAGTTTTCTTTGCTATGGGATACATTTTTTTTTTTTAGCAAAAACCAAATAATTTAGTGTTAATTGCATTGCACTACTGATACCTACAGCAGGTATCACTTTCGCATCTCAGGACAAACTTAGAGTTTCGGATTTTATAGATATCTATCCATTCCATGTCATTAAAAAAAATTGATATAAGTTAGAGCTGAGAGTATCATTTTCTTCTGAAGATAAAATCCTATAAACTAAAATAGCATGGGTTGGAGCAGTATGTACCATTTTCATCTTAAGATAAAACCCCAAAAAACAAAACAGCTGACTTGAGCTGAAACAGTGCATGCATGCTATCTGTATACTACAAATCTGTTTCTTATTTTCTCGCTATATATTCAAAGTATAAGTTCATAAAGTTTTAATAGTGTTTCTCCCTTTTCCCCATCCAAATTACATATTGTTCTGTTAAAGATGAATTAAAATATGGATCCCCTATACTTTTTTGTGGTGATTGTATGCACTGAAACCTTACGGAAGAAATGTGACCACATACAATCACTGGGAGCATAGACTATTTCATTTTAGAGTTGAGTATACCCTCTGTGCCTTTATACATTATTATAGTAGTTTTTGATTGTAAGGTTAGGGAAGTGAGTATACTTTTATTTGTTTTATTTTATATTTTAATTTTATGCTCTAAAAGTTTAGTGCTCTCTAGACATAATGTTTTCATGGAGAACTGTTTTGTAATGTTAAACACAGTTATATTTGCAGTTGGCCATACATAATAAAGAATTATCATTATGAAAAATTAATAGAAAATTTTGGGTAGTGATTCTTCTGGTAGAAGTAGTTACTAGGCAGTCTTAAAGGAATTCTGTGATGCCCAGAGATAATTTTTTTATTCAAGAAATTCTAACTATTGAAATTGTTTAAAACAATAACAAGCGAGGAAAAACCATCAATATTCAAATCATCATTATTTCATTAGCTTCGCTGATTCTGTCTCTCAAAGTATTTTGCTCTGATTAAGTGCAATTTGGATTTTCCCAAGCCGTAAATTAAGCAATGAATTGCCCACAACAGAATAGTTGAAGTAGTCAGCAAAGAGAATTTGGTATTCCTCTCCCCTCAGCACATGGGTGCACTTGCACACATACGCAAAAGCGCACACACACACACACCATTTCTATAGTTACAGTCTCACTCCAGGAGGTTTGTCTCTTCTAATTAGATACACATAATCCATTCAGCTCATTTGTAAAGTTTACAAGTTGATTCTCTCTCACTCTCTTGTCTTCACTGTCTTCAACCAGACAATGAAAACAAAGATACAGTAGAGCTCATTTTCTCATTATTGATTTCATGCACCAGCTGCCAGCTGTTTTAGCTTGTTCGTTTATATAACCCTCTGGGCAACTTTTAAAAAGTACATTTCTTTGACCATCTGCTAAATACAATTGGTTTAATAATTAAAGACTCACCATTCCATTTTAAAGAAACATAAATGTTGCTGTTGCAGCTGAGATATCAACATTTTGGTTTCAAATACAGAAACAGGTTTCATTCCATTAATCAGTATCGTACACTTTGGGACACTAGTATTTCATGCTTTTTTCTTCCATCAGTTTATGCTAAGAGGAAAAGTTCCTTATCATTTATAAACTTTCTGTTGCAGATCTTATTTTCCCTCTCAGCTTTTGCTTCCAGTTGTTAAGTATTGATACTTAAGCCTGTTGATACCTTGTTTTTATAAACACATAAGTCGTTGTTGAATATACATTCAGGAAGGCATATCAGCCGGATGCACTCATAAGACCACCCGTTATAATGAATGCAGGTATATTTCTAGAGAGAATCAAGCTCATGGCCTCCACCGTGCCGCATTGTTTACAAGTCACCATCCTACCACCCGTCTTTTTCTTAGTAAAAGGCTAGTTCATGTACAGACAGAATCAGAGAACCTCCTACACAAACCCTTATCATCTCGGACTGTTGCAAAAATCTACTGTTTTGTCATTAGGTTTATGAGTGATGTGATGTTTTATGTGAAGATGGACGCAACTTCCATTTGAACTCTTCTTTAAAGCTCTGATTAGACTTAAACATTCCAATAATTTTGTACTACTTAACATGTTATTTGGAAAACTCTTGTATATAAAACAATTTACCCTTTGTTTCCAGGGTATCTTGGAACTGAACCATAAATGTATAGTCATATGGGGTGAAAAAGTTTATTTCATTTTTATGCCATTTCTATACTATTACTGATGCATTTTGTTACAGAATCAGTCAGCCATATACATCATCTGCAAAATTCATATTTGCTAAATTTGTTGAGGAAATTGGAGTACATTTTGGATTTTCGAGGTAAAGTTAATATTTTCTTTTTTTTTAATCGAATAAAGCCATTTTCTTCAAAATGGAAAAAAAGGAACATTTCCTTGGTAAGGTGGACATAACTTATGTTAACTTCTGTGAACCTGAGCATTTGCACTTTGTTTTATAAAGTATTCCCCTCTTTAATGTTTTTGTCATTATAAGTGAAACAGGGAAAGTTCCCTTGTTCCCCTCTCAGGGCTTGTGATGGGGGTGTGGCTCTCTTCTTTGGTGTCCCGCTGCTCATAACCCCTAGGGGGAGCAGGCAGACGGGCAGGTTGTGGGGAGCATGGGCTCCGACCCCTAGGCAGCATCTAGGGGTGAATGCTTAGAGCTCCCGAAGCCCCAGTGGGCATGCTACAGTGTGCTCTTTTAGTTTTGCCATCTGTAGGCAGCTTGTGTTAATCAGCTCAATTAGACCCTCTGCCTTATCACAAGAACAGAGAGCTTTCTGTATCCCAGGGTTCTTTCCTTGGTGTACCAGAAGAATTGGATCACTCGTGGGCTTGGAGAATTTAAGTGCAAGGTTTTTTATTGAGTGGTAGTTCTCTGCGAGGTGGATGGGGAGGCCAGAAGGGGGATGGAGTGGGAAAGTGATTTTCCCCTGGAGTCAGGCCACCCAGCTGTCAGGCTCTCACCGACCACCTGGGCCAAACTCCGCATCATTTCGCCTCGCCGGTTGATGGCCTGCTGGTGTCAGCCGGTACCTGTTGGTGTGCTCTTCCACCTGTGTGTTCCTCTCTACATCCAGCTGCTTGTATCTCTGCCCGCTAGGGTCTCAGGGTTTTTATAGGCACAGGATGGGGGCGTGGCAGGCCAGGGTTGTCTTGGAAAATGCAACCTTTGGGTGCGAAAACAGGAGTGCCTGTCCTCACCTGGGTCCTAGGGCACAGGCCCAGAAATGGAGCCCTCGCCAGGGACCGTGCCCTTCTCCTCCCAGCACTTCCCTGAACCCTTCCCATTCATAAACACAGCTCGAGTTTAGTCAGTTATTAACGTATTAACGTTGGTTCCTGTTAATTCTTAAAATGGACAAGAACAAGTTGAGCTTTCCAAGATAATCTGGTTAAATACTCTTATACATCAAATTGATCTCATTCTGATTAAGGTGGTAAATTTGAATGGGAAGCTGCATTTTACAGTAATCTTTTTTTTTTAATTTTTCTGTGATTCTTCTCATCATGGTTCTAATGCATCTAATGCCTCACAATCATTTTTATTTTTAAATTGAAATATTAGATTTATTTACACTACAGTTAGTTCAGGCCAGGTGTGGTGGCTCACGCCTGTAATCCCAGCACTTTAGGAGGCTGACGTGGGCTGATCACTTGAGGTCAGGAGTTTGAGACCAGCCTGGCCAACCTGGTGAAACCCCCCGTCTCTACTAAAAATACAAAAATTAGCCGTGCCTGATGGCGCATGCCTGTAGTCCCAGCTACTCAGGAGGCTGAGGCAGGAGAATTGCTCCAACCTGGGAGGCGGAGGTTGCAGTGAGCCGAGATCACAACACTGCACTCCAGCCTGGGCTACAGAGCGAGACACTGTCTCAAAAACAAAACAAGTGTCTGTTCATGTCCTTCGCCCACTTTTTGATGGGGTTGTTTGTTTTTTTCTTGTAAATTTGTTTGAGTTCATTGTAGATTCTGGATATTAGCCCTTTGTCAGATGAGTAGGATGCGAAAATTTTCTCCCATGTTGTAGGTTGCCTGTTCACTCTGATGGTAGTTTCTTTTGCTGTGCAGAAGCTCTTTAGTTTAATTAGATCCCATTTGTCAATTTTGGCTTTTGTTGCCATTGCTTTTGGTGTTTTGGACATGAAGTCCTTGCCCACGCCTATGTCCTGAATGGTAATGCCTAGGTTTTCTTCTAGGGTTTTTATGGTTTTAGGTTTAACGTTTAAATCTTTAATCCATCTTGAATTGATTTTTGTATAAGGTGTAAGGAAGGGATCCAGTTTCAGCTTTCTACATATGGCTAGCCAGTTTTCCCAGCACCATTTATTAAATAGGGAATCCTTTCCCCATTGCTTGTTTTTCTCAGGTTTGTCAAAGATCAGATAGTTGTAGATATGCGGCATTATTTCTGAGGGCTCTGTTCTGTTCCATTGATCTATATCTCTGTTTTGGTACCAGTACCATGCTGTTTTGGTTACTGTAGCCTTGTAGTATAGTTTGAAGTCAGGTAGTGTGATGCCTCCAGCTTTGTTCTTTTGGCTTAGGATTGACTTGGCAATGCGGCTCTTTTTTGGTTCCATATGAACTTTAAAGTAGTTTTTTCCAATTCTGTGAAGAAAGTCATTGGTAGCTTGATGGGGATGGCATTGAATCTGTAAATGACCTTGGGCAGTATGGCCATTTTCACGATATTGATTCTTCCTACCCATGAGCATGGAATGTTCTTCCATTTGTTTGTGTCCTCTTTTATTTCCTTGAGCAGTGGTTTGTAGTTCTCCTTGAAGAGGTCCTTCACGTCCCTTGTAAGTTGGATTCCTAGGTATTTTATTCTCTTTGAAGCAATTGTGAATGGGAGTTCACCCATGATTTGGCTCTCTGTTTGTCTGTTGTTGGTGTATAAGAATGCTTGTGATTTTTGTACATTGATTTTGTATCCTGAGACGTTGCTGAAGTTGCTTATCAGCTTAAGGAGATTTTGGGCTGAGACGATGGGGTTTTCTAGATAAACAATCATGTCGTCTGCAAACAGGGACAATTTGACTTCCTCTTTTCCTAATTGAATACCCTTTATTTCCTTCTCCTGCCTGATTGCCCTGGCCAGAACTTCCAACACTATGTTGAATAGGAGCGGTGAGAGAGGGCATCCCTGTCTTGTGCCAGTTTTCAAAGGGAATGCTTCCAGTTTTTGCCCATTCAGTATGATATTGGCTGTGGGTTTGTCATAGATAGCTCTTATTATTTTGAAATACGTCCCATCAATACCTAATTTATTGAGAGTTTTTAGCATGAAGGGTTGTTGAATTTTGTCAAAGGCCTTTTCTGCATCTATTGAGATAATCATGTGGTTTTTGTCTTTGGCTCTGTTTATATGCTGGATTACATTTATTGATTTGCGTATATTGAACCAGCCTTGCATCCCAGGGATGAAGCCCACTTGATCATGATGGATAAGCTTTTTGATGTGCTGCTGGATTCGGTTTGCCAGTATTTTATTGAGGATTTTTGCATCAATGTTCATCAAGGATATTGGTCTAAAATTCTCTTTTTTGGTTGTGTCTCTGCCTGGCTTTGGTATCAGAATGATGCTGGCCTCATAAAATGAGTTAGGGAGGATTCCCTCTTTTTCTATTGATTGGAATAGTTTCAGAAGGAATGGTACCAGTTCCTCCTTGTACCTCTGGTAGAATTCGGCTGTGAATCCATCTGGTCCTGGACTCTTTTTGGTTGGTAAACTATTGATTATTGCCACAATTTCAGAGCCTGTTATTGGTCTATTCAGAGATTCAACTTCTTCCTGGTTTAGTCTTGGGAGAGTGTATGTGTCGAGGAATGTATCCATTTCTTCTAGATTTTCTAGTTTATTTGCGTAGAGGTGTTTGTAGTATTCTCTGATGGTAGTTTGTATTTCTGTGGGATCGGTGGTGATATCCCCTTTATCATTTTTTATTGTGTCTATTTGATTCTTCTCTCTTTTTTTCTTTATTAGTCTTGCTAGCGGTCTATCAATTTTGTTGATCCTTTCAGAAAACCAGCTCCTGGATTCATTGATTTTTTGAAGGGTTTTTTGTGTCTCTATTTCCTTCAGTTCTGCTCTGATTTTAGTTATTTGTTGCCTTCTGCTAGCTTTTGAATGTGTTTGCTCTTGCTTTTCTAGTTCTTTTAATTGTGATGTTAGGGTGTCAATTTTGGATCTTTCCTGCTTTCTCTTGTAGGCATTTAGTGCTATAAATTTCCCTCTACACACTGCTTTGAATGCGTCCCAGAGATTCTGGTATGTGGTGTCTTTGTTCTCGTTGGTTTCAAAGAACATCTTTATTTCTGCCTTCATTTCGTTATGTACCCAGTAGTCATTCAGGAGCAGGTTGTTCAGTTTCCATGTAGTTGAGCGGCTTTGAGTGAGATTCTTAATCCTGAGTTCTAGTTTGATTGCACTGTGGTCTGAGAGACAGTTTGTTATAATTTCTGTTCTTTTACATTTGCTGAGGAGAGCTTTACTTCCAACTATGTGGTCAATTTTGGAATAGGTGTGGTGTGGTGCTGAAAAAAATGTATATTCTGTTGATTTGGGGTGGAGAGTTCTGTAGATGTCTATTAGGTCTGCTTGGTGCAGAGCTGAGTTCAATTCCTGGGTATCCTTGTTGACTTTCTGTCTCGTTGATCTGTCTAATATTGACAGTGGGGTGTTAAAGTCTCCCATTATTAATGTGTGGGAGTCTAAGTCTCTTTGTAGGTCACTGAGGACTTGCTTTATGAATCTGGGTGCTCCTGTATTGGGTGCATAAATATTTAGGATAGTTAGCTCCTCTTGTTGAATTGATCCCTTTACCATTATGTAATGGCCTTCTTTGTCTCTTTTGATCTTTGTTGGTTTAAAGTCTGTTTTATCAGAGACTAGGATTGCAACCCCTGCCTTTTTTTGTTTTCCATTGGCTTGGTAGATCTTCCTCCATCCTTTTATTTTGAGCCTATGTGTGTCTCTGCACGTGAGATGGGTTTCCTGAATACAGCACACTGATGGGTCTTGACTCTTTATCCAACTTGCCACTCTGTGTCTTTTAATTGCAGAATTTAGTCCATTTATATTTAAAGTTAATATTGTTATGTGTGAATTTGATCCTGTCATTATGATGTTAGCTGGTGATTTTGCTCATTAGTTGATGCAGTTTCTTCCTAGTCTCGATGGTCTTTACATTTTGGCATGATTTTGCAGCGGCTGGTACCGGTTGTTCCTTTCCATGTTTAGCGCTTCCTTCAGGAGCTCTTTTAGGGCAGGCCTGGTGGTGACAAAATCTCTCAGCATTTGCTTGTCTATAAAGTATTTTATTTCTCCTTCACTTATGAAGCTTAGTTTGGCTGGATATGAAATTCTGGGTTGAAAATTCTTTTCTTTAAGAATGTTGAATATTGGCCCCCACTCTCTTCTGGCTTGTAGGGTTTCTGCCGAGAGATCCGCTGTTAGTCTGATGGGCTTTCCTTTGAGGGTAACCCGACCTTTCTCTCTGGCTGCCCTTAACATTTTTTCCTTCATTTCAACTTTGGTGAATCTGACAATTATGTGTCTTGGAGTTGCTCTTCTCGAGGAGTATCTTTGTGGCGTTCTCTGTATTTCCTGAATCTGAACTTTGGCCTGCCTTGCTAGATTGGGGAAGTTCTCCTGGATAATATCCTGCAGAGTGTTTTCCAACTTGGTTCCATTCTCCACATCACTTTCAGGTACACCAATCAGACGTGTCTCAAAAGAAGACATTTATGCAGCCAAAAAACACATGAAGAAATGCTCATCATCACTGGCCATCAGAGAAATGCAAATCAAAACCACTATGAGATATCATCTCACACCAGTTAGAATGGCAATCATTAAAAAGTCAGGAAACAACAGGTGCTGGAGAGGATGCGGAGAAATAGGAACACTTTTACACTGTTGGTGGGACTGTAAACTAGTTCAACCATTGTGGAAGTCAGTGTGGCGATTCCTCAGGGATCTAGAACTAGAAATACCATTTGACCCAGCCATCCCATTACTGGGTATATACCCAAATGAGTATAAATCATGCTGCTATAAAGACACATGCACACGTATGTTTATTGCGGCACTATTCACAATAGCAAAGACTTGGAACCAACCCAAATGTCCAACAATGATAGACTGGATTAAGAAAATGTGGCACATATACACCATGGAATACTATGCAGCCATAAAAAATGATGAGTTCATATCCTTTGTAGGGACATGGATGAAATTGGAAATCATCATTCTCAGTAAACTATCGCAAGAACAAAAAACCAAACACCGCATATTCTCACTCATAGGTGGGAATTGAACAATGAGATCACATGGACACAGGAAGGGGAATATCACACTCTGGGGACTGTGGTGGGGTTGGGGGAGGGGGGAGGGATAGTATTGGGAGATATACCTAATGCTAGATGACACATTAGTGGGTGCAGCGCACCAGCATGGCACATGTATACATATGTAACTAACCTGCACAATGTGCACATGTACCCTAAAACTTAGAGTATAATAAAAAAAATAAAATAAAAAAAAATAAATGAAAAAAAAAAACAAAACAAAACAAAATAAAACACTACAGTTATTTCACTATATTTTAAATATTCTCTTTCTATCTTTTATTTTATGTTTAGAGGGTATATGTGCAATTTTATTCCATGTGTAAATTGTGTGTTTTGGGGATTTGGTGTACAGTTATTTTGTCACCTAGGTAATAAGCATAGTACCTCATAGGTAGTTTTCTGATCCTCACCCTCCACCCTCAAGTAGGCCTCAGTATCTATTGTTCCCTTTTTTCTGTCCATGTGTACACAATGTTTAGCTCCCACTTATACGTGAACATACGTGGTATTTGGTTTTTTGTTCCTGCATTGATTTGCTTAGGATAATGGCCTCCAGCTCCATCCATCTTGCTACAGAGGACATGATCTTGTTCTTTTTATGGCTGCATAGTATTTCATGGTGTCCATACATATACACATCTTTGCTATTGTGAATAGTGTGGCGATGAGCATATGTGTGTATATGTCTTTATGGTAGAATGATTTACATTCCCTTGGGTGTATACCCAGTAATAGGATTGCTGGGTTGAATGGCAGTTCTGTTTTATGATCTTTGAGAAATCTCCAAACCGCTTTCCACAGTGGCTGAACTAATTACATTCTGACCAATAGTGTATAAGCATTCCCTTTTCTCTGCCACCTTGACAGCACTGTTATTTTTTCACTTATTTATTCATTTAGAGACAGGATCTCACTTCGTCACCCAGGCTGAAGTGCAGTGGCGCAATTTCAGCTCACTGCTGCCTCCACCTCCTGGGCTCAAGCAATCCTCCTACATCAGCCCTAAAGTAGCTGGGACTACAGGTGCGGGCCACCACACCCAGCCTATTTTTTGAGTTTTAAATAATAGCCTTTCTGACTGGCGTGAGATGGTATCTCATTGTGGTTTTGATTTGCATTTCTCTAGTGATTAGTGATGTTAAGTATTTTTTCATATGCTTGTTGGCCACATGTAAAGGTCTTCTTTGGAGAAGGGTCTGTTCATGCCCTTTGTCCATTTTTTAATGGGGTTGTTTCTTTTTTGCTTATTTAATTGTTTAAGTTCCTTATAGATTCTAAATATTAGACCTTTGTTAGATGCATAGTTTGCCAATTTTTTTTTCCCATTCTGTAGGTTGTTTACTCTGTTGATAGGTTTTTTGCTTTGCAAAAGCTCTTTAATATAATATTTGGTCCAACTTGTCAATATTTCCTTTTTTTGCAATTGCTTTCAGTGTGTTCATTATGAAATCTTTGCCAGAGCCTATGTCTAAAATAGTATTTCCTAGGTTGTCTTCAAGGATTTTTATAATTTTAGGTTTTACATTTAAATATTTAATCCATCTTGAGTTGATTTTTGTATATGGTGAAAGAAAGGGGTCCAATTTCAATCTTCTGCATATGGCTAGCCAGTTATCCCAGCACCATTTACTGAATAGGGAGTCCTTTCCCCATTGTTTGTTTTTGTTAGGTTTGTTGAAGATCAGATGGTTGTAGATGTGTGGCCTTATTTCTGAGTTCTCTATTCTGTTCTATTGGTCTATGTGTCTGTTTTTTTTAGCAGTACCATGTTGTTTTCATTACTGTAGCCTTGTAGCATAGTTTTAAGTTGGGTAATGTGATGCCTCCAGCTTTGCTCTTTTTGCTTAAGATTGCTTTGGCTATTTGGGCTTGTTTTGGGTTCCATGCGAATTTTAGAAGAATTGTTTCTAATTCTATGAAAAATATCCTTGATAGCTTGATAGGAATAGCACTGAATCCGTAAATTGCTTTGGACAATATGGCCATTTAAACAATATTGATTCTTCCTATCCATGAGCATGGAATCACAAAATCATTTTTATTTTTATTTTTTCATGTTGTTCTGTAATTTATTTAAAAAAATTAAAAAATGCTAGATCTTGGCAGATATATGAGTTGAAAATATTTTTTCAAGCTGTCTTTTTACTTTCTTTTCTTGAATTTTGTTAATTTCTTAGCTTTAGGGTACAAGAAGAGGTTTTTGGTTGCTTGGATGCAATGTATAGTGGTGAAGTCTGAGATTTTAGTGCACGTATCACTGGAGTAGCATACACTGTACCTAGTATGTAGGTTTTTATCCCTTTCTCCCCTACTCTCTGTCTTCTGAGTCTCCATAGTCCATTGTATCACTCTGTATGCCTTTGTATACCCATAGCTTAGCTCCCACTTGTAAGTGAGAATATACTGTATTGAATTTTCCATTCCTGAGTTACTTCACTTACAATGGCCTCCAGCTCCATCCAAGTTACTTACTCCTGCAAGAATGACCATTACTAAAAAGTCAAAAAAACACAAAATCATTGTTAGAAACACAACCAACTATGCAAGCTTACTTGAAATGGTCCTCTGAGTGGATTTCCTCTGTGCCTTTTAAAAGTTATATTCTGTATTTGCTTTTTAATAAATAAACTTGTATTTATCAAACTCCTGCTTTTGTTATTTTTATTACGCATAATACATAGGATTACAAATATCTTGACACTTAGTTCTGTGTTTTAGTTTTAGGGACTAGACAAAGAACATGTTTTCTGCATTATAGAGCTTTAAACTGGTTGGGCACACAATGTTTTTCACATGTGAAGCAACCTGGGCTCTCTACAAGAAAACATAAGAAACATAGAGATAAATGTATTCCTTACATAAGCTAGTGTAACTTTTAGGGTCATATTACAAAGGTAATGTTTTTTATCCTTTGAGTAAAATTCTGTTATGTGACATTCTTCGTGTATTTTAATAAGTTAGAACAGAGCAATACCATTTGTATTAAATATTTTTCTGGGCTTATTCAAACATACAGCCTTAATAAGGTAATGTTTTAGTATTACATATATGCTTTCCAACTCATTCTTTCTTTAACCTGGAAATCAAAGGATAAAAATCACTTGTTATACACACGTGTGCTTGATCAAATGGAGTGAACTGATGAAAGGATATTACTAGGTATCTTGTTTGTGTATTTCCATGTTTTATTTGGCATATCCATGAGACAAAAGTATTTATGACTATCTTCTCCCATTCATTCTTCAATCAAGGGCTTAGGTCAGTCTTGTAGGGACAGAGAAAGCAGCACTTGAGCTGAGTTTCAAGGACAACTAGAAGTTTGTTGGGCAGACAAAAAATGTGTGTGGGTGTGTACAGGTAATGGGAACACTACATTTTTGGATTGCTCTCCTCTTCACCCACCCTGTTTTATCTTTCTTCATCCTCCCTGTCATGTCCTCTCCCACTTCATCACCTTGTATTTTCCTGCAGGATTTTGTTAAATATTATAATTTGAGCAAGCTCAAGAGTAGTCCACTATTTAATGTTTGCTGTACAGCAATATTTCTATATAAAATATCTCATTAGAAATAATTCTGTCTTTCAGCCAAGTTGTAAGAGATAGAAAAAAATCAGTTTAGATCTGTATTCTAGCTAGAGTTCTCTGAGTATATGTAAGTGTTTCTTCCAATCACTTTCTCCTTTGCTTAAACGGGCTTGTTCTTATTTAGTTTTAAGTACGATTCAAAGTAGATTTACCTGAGATAGAAATGTATTTTCCAAATTATGCCATCCCAGCCCCGCCACACACACACACACACACACACACACACACACACACACACACACACACAATCCCAGAGAGAGCTGGGCAGCAATTATGGAGTGATGGCAATGCCCCTACAAGCCCTGCTGATAATCCTCTTCTTTGTACCCTCTTATCATTAGGCTACCTACAATTGCTGGGGAGCAAACTCAGCAGGAGAATCTTGGCCAGAAGCAATACCCAGTGGCAAGATGGCAAGGTTAGGTAGTGGAAAAATTCCTGATAGAAGCTATTTCTTTCTCCCAGCTCATCTTTGTTTATTCTTGATTGGTAAAAGAAAAAAAAAATTCTAGTCTCAGTTTTGCAAGTGACTGGTGAAAGGATGATATAAACATGTTGTTTAAGACTGAAATCTGATGCACTTTCCATACAAGGCCAGTTTTCACTGGCCTATATCTGACATATGCTAGTAACTGAATTTGGAGGGAACCTTGAGCTCCTTGGATAAGAAGCTAGGCCTGCAGAATATCATTGAAGTTTAAAAAACTTTCAGATCAGATTTGAAAATGAGGAGCTACTGTCACAGAGCCAGGTTGTATAGCCAGTGGAATGTGATACGTTGGTAGATGTTATGTATTGGTCAAGAATGTGGCATCAGAGAAAGGGAGAAATAGAACCATTATATTTTGTCGTGTGTGTGTGTGTGTGTGTGTGTGTGTGTTTGTGTGTGCATGTGTGTATTTAATTAAAGAGTGCCTTTAATTTCTTACAGGTAATTTTATTACAATTAAAATTAATTTATATTGATTCTGGTGAGAAATATAAATGCTATTATCAAATTCAAAATAAAATATAAAGTCAAATGAAAAATTTAGATAAAAATATATTGCAATACTAGTTTCATATGAAATGTCACCTGTGAACTGAACTACATTTTGATACTATACATTAAAAATAGCCACCTTCCATAATCTGTGACATTTTGTATTATCCTAGAGTGCACGATTTTCTAATAGCATTAGATCAGGGAAAGAAAGCCTAAGCTTGTATAGTCACATAGAAGACCAAGAGAGGCCAGGTGTGGTGGCTCAAACCTGTAATCCCAGCACTTTGGGAGGCCAAGGCCAAAGGATTGGTTGAGGCCAGGAATTGGAGACCAGCCTGGTCAACATAGTGAGACCCAATCTATACCAACAATTTTTAAAATTAACTGCGTACAGTGGTGCACGTCTGTAGTCCCAGCTACTTGGGAGGCTAAGGGGAGAGAATCGCTTGAGCCCAGCTGGTCAAAACTACAGTGAGCCATGATTGTGCCACTATACTCCAGCCTTGTGACAGTGCAAGACCCTGTCTCAGTTAAAAAAACAAAAACAAAAAAAGAAAACTAAGAGAAAGCTAAGAAAGTGTTAAGTTCAGACTTCAGCTGACCAAAATTCCTTCTGCCTGCCCAGCGAGTACATTTGATTCTTCTGTTCATTTTATTTTTTATTTTTATTTTGAGACAGGGTTTTGCTCTGATGCTCAGGCTGGAGTACAGTGGTGCATGCAACTAGATCACCGCTCGCTGCAGCCTTGACCTCCTGGGCTCTAGCTATCCCTCACCTCAGCCTCCTGAGTAGCTGGGACCATACATGTGTGTCACCATGCCTGGATAATTTTTATTTTTATTTTTGTAGAGATGGGGTCTCCCTAGGTGGCCTGGACTACTCTGTTTATTTTAGATTTTTGGCTTCTCAAAGATTGTTTCCCTCTAATTAAATATTACTCATTTATATAGGATCCAGAACAGTGTGTTATACATCTATATGTTTTTTTCTTTTAAGCACTATAATCCTTTATATGACAGTAACACAGAATCAGATGTTTATATATCATCATTATTGCCAGCCTACAGAATGATCTCTTTCCCAAGGATTTTCCCCTTATGCCCCACACTTTCATTCTGTTGGGCATTTTTCTATAAAACACTGTGGGAATGATATTTGGAACTTGAGGGTAACATATACACATATACATATATTCAAGCACATATATTAAAATGGACATTTCTCATTAATATCTTTTTCTTTTGTTTTTCCCCAAGAAAATAAGGTCATTGAATTTTTCAGTGTTTGAGAAGCCTATAAATATTTAAGGAAAAAACACACTTTTACATTTTATCATATCAACCCAATACATGCTTTCACCCTATCGACACATTTATGTAATTGTATATGATTCTTCCAAAGTCCTGCAGCTAATGTACATTCCTTTTTGATTTAAATCCATGTCCTATCCTTTCCTGAGAAGAATTGAATCTATCTTTATCATCTCTTTGATAGTAAAAAATTTTCGTAAAACAAAATTAAATGGTTTCCCAGACAAACATTTTGAACTCAGATAAATAACCAATGTATTTTAAAAAAACATTTTTGCCCTAATAGCATTAAGGGAAATGAAACTTATATATTAAATAATATTTTAATGGTACTTTAATATTTATTTTTGAGTGATAATCCAGAATGTGCATTTTTTTGTTGCTGAGCATATTTTGAGTTATAGTATATGCTTATATGCTTTAATTGTTATTCTGAAGAACCCTAAAAAAACCTACCATTAACACAAACATTATTGAACTGAAACACATATAAAACCTGCAATAAACTTTCAGAAGTTAAAGAACAGCTTATCTTTTTTCTACTGCATCTGGCAATCTGCTAAAATTTGAAAAACTCTTTAAAGTGTACCTGCTTTTATAGCATTTTTTTCAGCAAACAATATGTAACTTGTATAAATGCATATAATTTTACTATTTTGTGTGTAGACCTACTGCTTATCTTTGTTTTGAATGGAGTGTTTAAGGTAGCCAAAGGCAAATTATGAATATTTCTCAATATCATAGGTTTTAAAAATATGATTTATATCTGAAGACGATGGTTATTGGAATAATGATACATTTTTCAGTTTACATATGAGCAAAATAAAAGATGCAGTTGAATAATTTTCATTTCATTATTTTATACCAATATTTCTAAGAGAACTCCAACAATTATCTTGGTATTTCATGACAGGATCTACCTTTCGAGCAATCCAGTGGTGTTTCAGTGTGTCTCATCATAGTAAGGTTATCATTCATTCTGTTAATATTTTATTTCTCCATAAAATAAGGTAGTTTTATATTTAAGTTAAGTGTTTAGGGGCTTTATTTGCAAGTTGACAAGATACAGTGAATTTAATTGATGCCATTAAGACTTTATAATACATTTTTATTCAAACAGTATAAGCATATTTGTACTATTACATAAAGATATAAACTTAATAAATTGTATTCTTTTGTAAAATATCTTAACATGGTGTGCAGTTTGTGTTAAACTTACATCATTTGACAGAATTACAAATATTTCGAAATGAAAATTCAGTTGAACAGGAGGAAGTAGAATAAAATATATCTATTTTTCTCCTCTGGGTATTAAGTTCAATATGGCAGATGCAAAGTTATTTATCTTGCAACCTTTATAAATAATATATTGGAGACCTCCAAACTCATTTAAAATTCAGAAATAAGAAAATTAACTTATCAGTTGTTATTTTGACAGTTACAATTGCAATAATTATTAAATAGTAAAATTTCATCTATATTAGTAAATCTCTTTAATACCTATAAATGATTATGCCTGTAGAAAAACATACTGAGATTATATCCCAAAAATCCTTAGATTACTGTCCCTCTTCACTCAGTAAGTATTTACTCAATGTTTAGCAAATGTTAGGATTTAGAACAATGCTAGATACTGTTTAAACCTAAATATTCAAACAAAAAGTCAGTCAGAAGTGGGACAGTTATTATGGACCAGGATGAAGATGAATGAGGAACTTTTAGTCCAGGATTTTAGTTCTACTCTAAGGTATAAATTCAGAGAGAAAATGAGAGCCTCTTAGTGGCATTAATTTTATAAATTATTAAACTGCACACGCATGCACACAAAACTGAGCTGACGGAAAAAGCAGATGGCCAAAAAATAAACTTAAAAAAATTGGCTAAAATGTAGAGGTGATTAGCTTTAGCCAAAACCATTGAAAGAAATCAAAACAAATTTAAGGTGATAAACTAAATAAAATAGAAAACTTTAAAAAGGAGGATTGTTTTGAAAAAAGTTCACAGGAGATCCACAATTAAAACACAATTCCACAATTAACTTGGGGGAATTTGTTTGGAAATGACAGCAGATTCCTAATTCCATGGCATTCCCCCACACATTATAATAATTTTCTTAAGTGAAAGGAAAACATACACTTAATGTTTTCTTAGACATTTAATCTCTCCCTTTTCTAGAGCCGGTGCAAACAGAACTGCTAATTAGTCTAACATGTCACCAAGCTACTGAACTTTGAAAAGATAGTAGCTCTAAAATATTGTAGATGTGCCAGTTGCTAAACAGGTGATTTTTCGGTACCGGTACCATATTCTAGTTTTAACAGATGGGCTTACTTTTAATTGTGATAATACTAGTAGTCTAGATATCATAATAATAGCTTTGAGAGGAGCAGTTCATTAGTAGCAAAAATCCTTTAGTAAAGTGGCATAGGCTTGAAACTCAGTGCTTCAAAGCACTGTGGGTACTTTAAATATAGGAAAATAATGCCAGAATCTAGTTCATAATATTGACCAATTTTCAATCAAAAGAAAAGTTGATTTTAGGGAAAAAATATGTGACAATAATTCATATTGTTTAGAATTTACTCCTATTTAGTAGTATTTTTCCTTAGTAAAAATTTTCCAGTTACACATGTAATATATGTTTAGATTATATTTAAGGTATATCAAATAAGTTAGGGTTTCAGTGGCAAATTTAGGTGCTTTATCTGTAGTGAGATTTTTGTAAAGTTTTTCTTTAAAAGATAGCAATTAGAGAAAGATAAATTGACCTTATGCTTCATTGTTACTTTTCAGGTGTTCTTGGTGTTTCAAATAAATTGCAAAGAAAATTTCCCGTCTGGTAATGATCCTTCTTACAACTCCACATCTTGCAAAAGTTTTTACTGAAATATTATAGGATTACCATTAAAATAATTTGATCATGTGTGTGATCCTATTGGTACGGTCATATGACAACATGATAAGTTTCATAATTATAACAATTTAACAGTTGTCAAAAGTATATTATAACTGATTTTCAAAAGTTTGCTATAAAGACAGCTTGTTTCTATCTGTACTCAATTGTAAATATACATGATTGCTTTCATCAGTTTCTTCTAGTAAGACAACAAAATAGAAATTTTAATGATGACAGTTAATCATAAAATTATATTTTCTTCTGAAAAATCGTTTGGAAATATCGTGGGATCTGGTATTAAGATATTATTTATCTGGTTGGAACACATATATATTTGTATGTAGGTTTACATTCTATGTACATATTATGTTGAGCAGATGAAATGGATGAACCATAATAGTATGTAAAGAAAATTTTAAAAGCTATTTGATTAACAGCCATTTCTAATTTAAAAACATTTTGTTTCCTATAGTTAAAAAATTATCCTCTGCTGCTGCTCCTGGGGTTTCTTTTATTTTTTGGCTTTATCACTTAAAGACTATTAAAATGGGAAATGAGTTTCTTTCCTATTAAAAGCCTTTAAAGAAAATGATGCTTTAAAAGAAAGCCAAGACACTAAACACCTTTGAGCATTTTTCTCCATCTCCTAAATGCTCTGTAATTTGTATGTAAAGAATGTAAGACCTGTCTGCCTATTTTGCATGGCATTGCTATTTAATTTTTTTATTTTTGTTTGCCGCAATTGTTATGGGTAAATGGTGAGTGTGAGGTAATAAGGGCATGCTATTTGTGAGAATGGCAAAAATGTATTGTTTCATACTACGAATGCATCTTCAGAATAAGTGGGTGGTCTTTCATTGCCACTTAATGTGATTTTTAAGGGAAGGCATTCACAGATACAAAGACATTCTTCAAAATGTGATCACTATAAGACCAAGAGCCTCACAAATAAGCAGAGTAAAAGACTAAGAATCTCATACAGTATTGCTAACAATGCGTAGAGGGGAAATAAAGGAAGGCCTATTTGCCCTGGAGAGATGAGGAAGCAATCCGAAATTCCTTGATTGCGGTGTGAAGACTGTTAACACTTTATACAACGTGGAAGAGAAAGAAGGTAAAGCTAAGGAATCCTAAACAAGGGGTGACCTTAGAGACGTGAGGAGAAGCATGATGTGATGGGAAGGTAGAAACCACACCCCATGCTACGGAGTATTCAATCATCTCCATTAGCAGTAATTAATATTCACACAACAGGAAAGAGGAAGACTTTTCTTTCTTCTATTCTCGCATTTTTCTTTCATTTTTTCTTTCTTTTAAAAATTTGTTTGAATTAAGAGATAAGTGGATAGTAACGGTTTTCTTTAAAACCCTTTGGCATGAGAACTGATGAAACTTTAGGGAAAAAAATACATGCCTGTTGAAGTTTTAGACTTAAGAGAGCATATTGGAAGAGATATTTGAATAAAGAAGATGCTCATGTGTTATTTTAGAAGAGAGTTACGGGAGTAACCTCTAGTAATTGATAAGATAAAAGGGTAACTATACAAAAGGAATAATACAGATAGCTTCTGAAAAGGTAGAATAAAACCCACTAGCGACATAAAGCCAGAATGACTAACAGGAAATATTAGGTAGTGAAATGGCTAACAATCTTCATAGGTACTTGTTTAATTCTAATCATAACCCTCAACGTGGATTCAGCTAAGAAATTTATACTTCAATAAACTCCCTGGATACACATATATTGTACATTTTATTTGGAGACATATTGGTGGACTTGTTCAATTTTGCTAAAACATTAAAGTTGATACCTAATATAGAAGACAGTGTCAGTATATTGACTTCCACCAAGGGGAAATTATTCTTTAATTTGATTGAGATCAAGAGATAAAGGCGAAAAACTTGCATGTAAAAAAAAAAACAGATAGTGTGGTACACTTTTGAGACAACAGAAAACTAAATAAAGAAGAGTGAAAGGAATACAATCATCTTTAGGGAAGGACATTTCAGTTGGAGGAAATTTCCTGTAATTTAAAATGTATGGAATTGCAACAAGATAAAAAGTATTACAATCAAAGAATATAAAAAATTCAAACTTTGTTCATGAGGATTTTAACAGTATCCGTCGGTATTTGGGAAATAATAAGCATAACAAAAATGTAGATTAATTTTTAATTTCCATTAAAAAGCATGTTTTCATTGCATTGAAGACTTAATATAGGACCTGGAAAAAATGAGCTTTTATCTGGATAGTTATATTTGAAGTCAATACTATCGCCCCAAAGACTTTTAAACAAACACATGTCTTCTAAAGGCTTTAGTACTGTTTTATAATGTTTGCACTTTTCTTGTTCTCCAGGCAGTGTTTAGTAGTTAGGTTTTGTTTCCTTTCAATAATTGAAGCCTAGTGAGGGAGACATGCCTGTAACTGAGTTCTATAACAGAGGCACACACAAATTGCCAGGTAAGCAGAGAGGTAGGAGTCATAATTCAACTTGTATGTCTAAAAAATGAAGTGACCAGTGTCAAAGATTAGCAAGTTATTTGACCCGATTTTATTATTAGAAAGGAATATAGTAACTTATTCACAGCAGAGGTAGAGGTCAGAAAGTTTCACAGCTCTTTTAAGTGTTCATTGTAACAACCTTTTCACACCACTATAATTAGGTGCTTTTGTGTACATTGTCTTTTGCTAGACACTACAAGGAGATATCCATTTGGTGCTTCCAAATGGAAGACCAAAGGGTCTTCCTTTTGGTGCTTGGCATTTTAAATGATGAAAATCAATGCACACTCATGGGGTTAGGTAATAGTTGAACATATTAATAGATGAAAATGTACATATAGTTAATGTCCATTTACTTTTATCTAAGGAGGATGAAGTGGGATAGTAATTAGCAGTCAGTAGGTGTGGCATGTTTTTCTCTGTGGAACTGTTAGGCAAATAATCTAATTCATTCACTCTTTTTGTAAGAATTATCCAATCAGAAAGTTCAAGATAAAACTAACTGCCTGGAGGAGAAATGAAAATTAAATTGAGACTTTCTTGATAAATGACAGCCTTGATTTTACCTGAATGCATGGTCATAGCAAAGACCTAAATAGCTACATGACTTATAATGAGATTGTATCATTCCTAATAACCCCACTTAGAATATTACATTTATTTCTGGCTACCATATGATACAGTTTGGATGTTTGTCCCCTCCAAATCTCATGTCAAAATGTGATTCTCAACACTGGAGGGGGGTCCTGGTGGGAGGTGTTTGGGCTGTGGGGGTAGATCCCTCATGAATGGTGTGGTGCCCTACTTATGGTAATGAGTTCACATGAGATTTGGTTGTTGAGAAGAGTCTGCGACCCCACCCCCCTTTTTGCTTCCCCTCTTGCCATGTGACATGCCTATTTCCCCTTTGCCTTCCACCATGATTATAAGCTTCTGGAGGCCTCACCAGAAGCAGATGATGGCACTATGTTTCTTGTACAGCCTATAGAAATGTGAGCCAAATAAACCTCTTTCTTTTATAAATTACCCAGTCTCGGGTGTTCCTTTATACCAAAGCAAAATGGACTAATGCACCATATTTTTTTTAAAGATGCAGCATTTGAAAGAGAGAATTAGATTGGCCTTAGGATATGAGCTGTGAAGACAGGATAGAATCCTGAGTTTCTGTGAGTTTTAAAGAGCAAATTTAAGATTTAATTGAAAATAATATAAACATATCAATGTACATAGAGATAGACAATGTCTTTTTATTATAGTATAGATTATTGTAAAAGAGATGCATAAATTTTAGAAGAAAAACTTGCTGAAACAAACATCGGAGCTTCTCAGCTTTTCAAGACCATTTTTCTGTAGCATGCAAACAGAATAATGCACTACTGATTTATTCTATGAATGAAAATGTCTACAGGATTTTTCAGAGAGTGCTTTTCTGAAACATAGAAGAGAATGCCCCTTAGCTGAATACCTCTAACAGGCAGGCAATAACTTTAAATCAGAGGAAAAAGGGTATGTCTCAGGAGTGGCAACTAAACTGCAACCATCACTGACCTCTCAGAAGACTTTCAATGTAATCTACCTATATTGTAGGCAGGTAGCCAACAATTTAGGAATCAGAGAACTACAGGGTTTTTGAGCTGTGATGGGCTGGAGAGATCAACTCATTCAACCTTGGTTTTACAGAGAAGTATACTGGGATCTCGAGAGGGGAAGTAATTTGCTCATGGTGACACGGTTAATGGTGACACAGTTAATGGCCTAGTCGGGACCAATACCCAAGTTTCCTTATGCCTTGTTCAGTGTTTTTCTGTTAACCCTGTTACGTTCAGAATTGGCTGTTGTTCAAAAGTTGGAAAATAATTTTTCATGGAAACAAAGTCATAAGCTCAGAGTTCTCCTTTGTTCCATTCTGTACTTAGTTTCCATAAGTCAGGCTTTAAATCATATTAATGTTGGCTTTAGACTTTCTGTTGCACACGTCCTTTCCTTTTGATTTTCATCTCCACCACCCTGAAGTAACCTCCTACTTGGTCTCCTCACCTACACACTCTCTTATAACAATCCATTCTGTGCATCTTGTCAGTTTTAATTTCCTAAAGCATTGTTATCCTCTTTCAGTCTTTGTTCTTTAAAACCTACTTCAAGACCCAAGTCAAATTTTACCTCCCCCATAGTGACTGCACTGACGACTTCAGGTAAAAGTGATATTTTCATCTTATAAATTGTTATAGTACTTAATTTAATTTCACCCATGGATTCAACATTCATTAATCAGATGTATTTGAGTATTTACTGTATACCAGGAAATCAAGTGGTGCTTATCACTCACAGATATTCAATGTTACATTTGTGGTCATAATTTCTCTCTTTTTAGATCGTAATATTCCTGATGTAAGATACTATGGTTGAAGATCTTTGTATTCTCTTTGTATCCTCCATAGCACAGAGCCTTTTGTACATAGTTGATGATCACTAAACATTTATAGAATAAATATTGAACTAAGAATCTGCTATGATAAGGTGTGAAGATAAATATGGCCTCTATGGGATCAGTATGCAAACTGTTAGATATCAATTATAAGCATGTTTGAAGAGCTTTCGTCAATAGTCAATATTTTTACTTTCTTTCTTCTTCTTTTTTTTTTTTTTTTGAGACAGGGTTTCACTCTGTCACCCAGGCTGGAGTGCAGTGGTGCGATCATAGCTCACTGCAGGTTGAAATACCTGGGCTCAAGCGATCCTCTCACCTCAGCCTCCTGAGTATCTAGGACTACATGCATGTGCCACCATGCTCAGCTAATTACAAAAAAATTCTGCAGAGAAGGGGTTGCGCTAGTTGCCAAGGCTGGTCATGAACTCCTGGTCTCGAGGGATTACGGATGTAAGCCACTATGCTCAGCCTTTTTGATTCTTAAGTTAATTCTTTGCAGTGCATAAAAGTCACATAGCTTATTAAGGAAAAAAGCATCAAGATAAAACAGTAATTCAGTCATATTCACATAGATAAATATTAACAAGAAGTGGTAGAATACTGAATCAGATTAAAAACTCTTCAATCTCACTTTCTACATATATAATTTTAATGTATATATTACATATGAAAATATATGAAGATTCAAACTTACTTTTGCGCACAAAATAGTTTTATTCTATTAGGCAATGAAGAGAAAATGCTCTGTTAACTGTAAAACTATACAACAAGTGGTATTATTATTTAAATATGAGATTTTGAACCTGTAAACAAACTTATATATATTGCTTTGAAAGATAATAATTTGTAATTTTAAATATGTGCCTCTGGTCTCTTAATTGGTAAGGAACATGGATTTTATTTTATTTTAAAATAGATTTTAAATAGATTTCAAAATACATTTATTTATCTTATTTTGAAATATTTTATTTTAGACTATTTTAAAATATTTTATTTTAAAATCCTTGTCAGGGATTAAGTCAGGAGATGAATATAAGGGATTTAATGGACTTTCAAATCGGTAATCCTCTTCATTCCCATTTTTGACTCCCAGTAATACATTAAGAGCATGTCCAGGCCAAGATTCCTTTGCTCTGACCCTGCTTGATTGTCTTCATCTGCAGCTACACTAAACCAGATAGGATTATCAGAATGATCAATTGGCAAATGAACTCATTTTCTTAGAAACAGCTTAGCTGAGTTCTGCTTACAGAACTGCTTTTCACATCTAATTTAAGCTTAATTAGACCAATTTGCCAAATGTTAGAAAAAGTTAAGGTATAATTCAAATAAATGTTATAGCATTATTTATTTTCATGAATAGCTTTATAATGAATCTATATTTTTACCAATCAATAATTCAGTATATTTGCTGCCATCAATAAGTTTGGACTTATAAAGTTTCTGATAAACTTTGGCTACTCAGAGAAAGTTTACTCAGATTCTAGAACACCATGGCTGTTCTTATACAAATCATGTATCATAATTAATTATGTTAATCAGCACTGCAAAGTAGAAATACATTCTCAAAATATGTTTTATAAAAATAACCTTAAAGACTGTACAGTGATGATTTTGAATAAGGGTAAAGTGTCCCTTCACAAGGTCAAAATTCATCTCAGTTGACAAATATTTACTGATGACTACTGCATGCCAGCATTGTGTGGGTTGATGGAATGAAACAGCAAATAAAAAGCCTAACCTACTATCTCATGGAGTTTACAGTGTCATTGGAAAAGTAGACCTAAAACAAGTAAATAGGTAAAATAATTACACATTGTGATAAGTGCTAGGAAGGAAACATCATTTTAATGAGCAATTCAGGGTTGGAAGTTGACACCAAGTTCTCCACATAGGCAGTAAACTAGGAAGTAAGCCAGTTTACTACTGTCTCAGTGTGATATCAAACCATCAAACACAAAGTTAGCTAAAAGCTGATAAAGCAGTAATTGTGTCCAACGTTTTAAGGGCTGCAGAGTATATCTACCATAAATGTTTTGTTTGGCTTCTGAAGCATTTCTTTAGTGTTTTCTGTGAGTCATTCTGAACACACAATAGCAGGACATGATCATCGACTGGAAGACATGAAATATAAATAGTGTAATGGTGCTGAAAAATCCCTTACCGGAGGCTGGCTAGAACCCCTATGCAGATCAAAGCACACAATTCAAAGGTCACCCATGATGTCTAGCCAAACCTACAAACATGAATAGCAAGACTGAAAGATAAAAAATTTCCAACAGAAACATTGTAGACAAAGATGACATAGCATTAAGTGATCTAAAATTTATGAAGGTTTTGAGGAATTTTAACGTTTAAAGCTTTATACGACAGAAATGATTTCAAGCAAATTAGCTAATAATCAGTTTATGTATGTGACTGATATTTACTGAATTTGAATATGTGGAAGAATATCATTGAAAATATTAGTTGGTATACATCCATAGTACCACTAAAGATATTTAATGGGCATCATGCTTGATGGTACATATATTCATATATCACACATGTTGAAACACTTATTGTTGTACCATGAGAAGACCAAGTTATTCTATTTTTTAAAATGAACATTGCCTTGAAAAAGATATTTGATGCTGTGAACAGTAATCCTATTTTTGATATTCTTTGTTTTTGTAGGACATATGAGAAATATCATTGAAACTGCTGAGGCTCCTCGGACAGGACCAACAAAATATTGTTTGTATAAAGGATCATCTGTCAGAGACAATTGACATAGGGTCTTGCATTCTTTGAGTTATATTGACACTCTATGTTAATACAAGAGTGTATATATATAACCAAAAACCCTATCTCCTACAAACAAACTAGTAAAAAAATTCCATAGGCCCATTTATCTTCACCACCACCCCATCCCATATTCAATTTTTTTTGTTTTTCCTCTTGACTCTGACTTTAAATCTCACTGATTTTTAAAAGACTCAAGTGTGTGCATCAAAATTTATCAGAAGCAGCAAATACTTAATATAACCAAAGTTTTTGTTATTCCCAAATAATTACAGAAAAAAAATTCTGAGAGGAAGCAAATGGTCAGTTTTAATTGTCTGGGCCTTGGTTCAAAAAATCATGTGTTTGGAGATTTAACAGACAAAGCGTTTGTTTGGATGCCTCCTACAAACTTAAATAGGCCTGAAATATACAGGCTATTAAATTTACATCTTTAAAATAAGGATATCCTCAGGTTTTTTTTTCTGTTAATATATATGTTTGCCAAACATTTTTCAGGATTCCTAAAGTGATTAAATGCCTTTAAACCAGCTGCTGTGGAGCAAGTGTTGTTATATAAGATGCATAAAGTTATCATCTAAGAGTGAGGAAAGACCTTTAAAAGTTCCAACAGTGGAAATGCAACAGTTAACATGATTTGGTCATATCTTCAAAGATAACTTTTAAAAGTTTTACCAGCACATATTTATTGGCAGTTTATCTCCTACTGATGATGTCTGATGGGAGGTGGGGAGGCATTGCTTGACTTATACTTCATTTATTTATTACATTTTGTTAGCAAATAGACATTGTTTATTGTATTGGGCCAGAAAAATAAATTGCATGACTAAAAGATATTACCTGTGTGAGGGGCAACCGAAACCTAATTTAGTAGTCCCCAAAATATGGCAGTATATGTCAACAGCTGACTTCATTTCAAAGCATAGGGAACATTTTTATCGATCTTTTCGAATTTTAAATATATAGCTTCTACTCTGAATGATATTGTATCTGTGAGCGTAATCAGAATTTGTTTCTTATTTAATCTGTGTTTATCTGATGCAACTTGCTTTAGGTGCTATTCTATATATATGGATGTCAACTTCAAAGGTCAAAGACTTGTCTTTCTTCATTAATAAAAGTACATATGACTTTTTTTTAAGTAGACAGATGATTTAGCACTCTTAGTGCACCTTCAGTCAATACCTTACACACACATGGAAGTTTTCAGAAATCCCATACTTTCTTTAGGGAAATTGATTGATATTTGGGTAAATTACACCTATAACCCTTAAAATAGCAGCCATAAAATTCATATTCTGCCTGGGACCTTGGAAATAACATAAATTCAACATAAATTCATTAAGAGGGCCAGGTATAAGGTCATAAGAAATTGTGGGAACTGTGGGGAACAGTAGAGTGCATGCTCTTTCTATGGGGTAGCCATTGCTAATCTACTTCATCTAGTTGTGCCAAACCAGTAAGAATGTGAAACCAGTATTGCCAGATCTCTCTTTTTAGTAAAAATTTCAACCTTATTTTAGATTCAGGAGTACATTGTTTTAGACTTGGGGGGTACGTGTGCAAGTTTGTTACGTGGGTATATTGCGTGTTGCTGAGGTTTGAGGTGTGAATGATCCTGTCACTCAGGTAGAGAGCATAGTACCTAATAGGGAATTTTTCAGCCCTTGCTCCTCTTTCCTCTCCCCTACGTCTAGTAGTCCCCAGTGTCTATTGTTGACATCTTTATGTCCATGTGTACCCAGTGTTTAGCTCCCACTTGTAAGTGAGAAGATGCAGTATATGGTTTTCCATCCCTGTGTTAATTCTCTTAGGATAATGGCCTCCAGCTGCTTCCATGTTGCTGCAAAGGACATGATTTTGTTCTTTTTTATGGCTGTGTAATATTCCATGGTATACATATACCACATTTTCTTTATTCATTCCCTGTTGCTAGGCACTTAGGTTGATTCCATGTCTTTGCTATTATGAGTAGTGCTGTGATGAACATACAAGTTCATGTGTGTTTTTGGTAGAAAAATTTATTTTCCTTTGGTATGTGCCCAGTAATGAGATTGCTGGGTCAAATGGTAGTTCTTTTTTAAGTTCTTTGAGAAATCCCCAAAGTGCTTTCCACAGTGGCTGAACTAATTTACATTCCTACCAAGAGTGTATAAGCACATTGAAATTCAGATTTTATGTAAACTGTTTTGATTTTTAAAGCTCTGTACAGAAAGATCACTGGCTTAGAGATCAAGGGAGCCACAAATCTTGTCTCTTCTACTATCTAAATATATATGTAATGTTTATCAACCTTATTATGTCCCCATGAGGATAAAACAGATATGACAGTCTTTGGGAGGACATTAAAGAAGTGGTTCTCTAATATACAATAGAGGAAGGAAGCAGGATTAAAAATGTAGGGGCAGTAGCTGTCATTCAGGTCGGTATATTGGGTGATCTGACACTAACTTCCTCTGCGACTTTGGCCAAATAATTGAACATCTCGGGAGAATTTCCTCGTCTGTTAAATGGTGGTGGTGGTGGTAGGTGGTTAACCAAAGCAGTTCAGGCACCCCCATTATATCACATAGGAAAAGGAAGAGCTGCACTAATGAAAGGATATAAGAGAATTGCTCCCTTTATTTTTCCTTCTAGTATACATTAGCAGTTTCACTGAAGTTCTTTAGAATCCAGTTTGAAATCCATTGCAGTAGATAATTCCAAAACTTGACTGTATCTTTAAAATGCTCTGTTTGAAGTACTTTCCTTTGTTTGAAGCATCGGTTAAAGGAACAATCTCTTTAGTTTACTTCACATCAGAGGCTGAACATAATATGTGATATTAGATAGTGATTTTTAAATTTATCCTAAAAGGACCTAAATACTTAAATTAAATGAGCCTGACATTTTAACTGGACTCCTTATTATGTGGTATTTTATTGCCTCCTGTCATGTGTCTCGCATGCTGTTTCTCTATATTATTAAATGAGATTTTGTGGGGTAAATTTAGGTTTCAAAAGTGAGAATATCATATCTCTGATTCTTATACTAAACTGACTGCAATCAAAGATGAGCATGCTGGGTAGCAATCACTGTCGTTAACTTTGTTGAGCTTCACATTCACATGCCCAAAGTTGGAAGAATCAAAGTATGAAAATTTATTTATCAGTGATACAGGGTAAAAATGACCTTGACTAATTCTAAATAAAACCAGCTCTCAATTATTAACTTCTTGGGTCTCAGCCAGAGTAGAATCACCTTCTAGTCATAACTTGTGCATATGGGAAGGCTCTCTCTACAGTAAGGTTAATCAATGTCCTAATGTGGTACAATCATGATGATGATTGGAACTAGTGAGTTGTGTAGAGAACCCTCACTGCTTACCACCATATGTTGTAAAATCTCAGTTGCTAATAGTTCTGTTGGTGGTAGTTGTATATTGTATATTGTATCTGCCACAACGTTCTTGACTGTGTGTAACCCTTGTTTTGTTAGTGGCTTTATAAGAATGTGAACATATGTTATGTCAGCCACAAAGACACATTTTAGTAAATTTCAGGCCTCTTCATCATGACTTTTGTTTCACAGCCAGAATCAGAAGTGGAGAGGGGCAGCAAAAAGAAAACTTTAGTAGACAAAGAGGAAATAGAAGGAATGCAAAACATTTTGGGCCAACTCCAGGGAACCCAGCTGATTTTTTTTCACATTATAACCTATTCTGTACTGAGCTGATAATATTAGTATCATCATCTGCTTGTTCAATAAAGTTTTCCAAAATGTTGATTATTTGGCAAAGTATAAGGAAAACTAAAATGAGTTAATTGATATCACTAAAAGAACAAATTCAGAAGTATAGAAGTCACATTTTACTTAGAATGTCAAAAACAAAATATACCTATTTAACTTGTAGGCCTTAAAGCCCTGGAGTTATAGCTAGTTTGTTAAGCACTATTGTAAAGTACATTCCTTACATTGGACAAGATAAATGAGAAATTTTCAAATATCAAGGTAAACTCCTAATTTTCTGAGTAAGTTTTAAATTGTAATAAAAGGACAGTTAACTCATGGGTGTTTATATATTCATTGAATAATTCTAACACGAATGTTTCTGTAGTCAGTGATTTCAGAGTCTAAGTTTAACCTATGAAACTCATGCCATAGGAGATGTAAATGATTTTGATTTTGGTGAGGATTAGTATAATTATATATATATTTATATAGTATAATTATATATAATACATATATAATTATATATAATACATATATATATATATACATATATATATGTATATATATATAGTGGTAGCCAAAAAGTTTGTTGTGCTTAGAAAGTTTTATTGTTAAAAAAGAGACGGACCTTTGGTAAAATTGAAAAAGTGCCCTCAAATCCAGTCATATATAGCCCATTAAAATAAGGAAGGATGCATTATCACTGACTTGGTGTGTATGATTATATTTTATTTAAGAACAGTGTCACCTCAGAAGAGGTTGGGTGAGTGAGATGTAAAGCAAAATCAAATAGTTATGGCAGTGGAGTGACAGAACGTAAGAGTAGGTGAAAAAAGGCTCACCTTCACTCTTACCTCCTCTCCCCAGCAACCCCAGATATATTTTCATTTTTTTTAGAACGCTCTCTACAGACTTTGAGCAGAGAAACAGTTGCTTTTCAAAAGCAAACAAAACAAAACAAAACAGATGATATTTTCATTTTTGTTCAACAAAAAGATTATGAACTAACCACATATACTTGTAGTGGGCATTATAGGAAGATTCCCATTTCTGTATTACTAAGAAGTACATTAAGGGTTAAAAGAACCACATTATAGTCCTCACAGGTTTTTTTGCATGTCATTTCAGATTTCACTGTTCTTTATTAAAGGATTGGAGAACACTGGGAGTTACTGCACTGCTGGAAAGAATTATTATTTTGTTAACAAGGCTAATTATGTGTTTTTTAAAATGGATCTCTTTTGTATGTGTTTAATTTCTTTTGTGTGGATGTATGTATGACTGTGTGTGTGTGTATGTGTGTGTGTGTGTGTGTGTGTGTGTGTGTGAATGTGCATGTGTAACCCTTGTGAGGAAGATGTAAGATAATTCAGTATGCTCCAGAAAAATGTATATAGTGATCTGTCGGAGATCAATGGCTCCATGTTTAGGAAATAAGCACAACATTGATATTGGCTTACTTTCATCATCCTGTTGGCCAAATAAAAGATGAGAAAAAATTAGAAAGGGATTTTTCCCTCCAAAATGTTGGAATACCTAATGGGATGGGAAGGAAGGCTCTTGAGAGAGAGGGAAAAGACATAATATTGCTGAATTTTTTTGGAATTGTTACGACCCAAGGCCACTTTCTTCAACAGAAATCTATAACCTTATTTCCTTGTCTTCATATATGGAAAAGCCCTAAACCACATGACATTTCACATTATTCTTTAGTCAATGGGGATTATACTATAAATGTGCTAACATTATTCATATATTTAAAACACTAATAGCAATTCAGGCTTCCTTACCTTCTATGTGCTCTTCCCTGCTGGTGTTTCATTGTGTGTAACCTATCTAAAATTTCTGCAGAATTTAGGAAGATGTTTTGTGAAATATAATAAAGCCTTGCTTAATTGGAAGCTAACTAACCAGAACTCTCAATTAACCAGTTTTATTTATTTATTTTCTGCTACACTCTCCTTTTAGAAGGAAGAGGCAAATGACAAGAAAACAAGCTGTTAACAGGTATTTATGTATTTATTTTTTAAAAATCAAATTCCTGAGAATGTCCTGGAGCCTGTACAGATTCAGCCACACTTTCATAATCTTGTTCCCTGTACTATACTCACTAAGGTAGGAAAGTAGAGCCATTTGAAATTTTCAGCAGCAAATGCTGAATCTTGCTTAATCCTCAGTTCATTAGAAAAAATGAAATCCAAAGAGTGAATTACAATCTGTCCATCCAGTTGGAGGTTATAAAGCAGAAGTTAGAGAAAGGCTGCAAGGTTGGTTGGGGTTGAGTGAACAACACTGACATAAAAACTTTGACAGCTATGTAAAATAATGGGGAAGTTATTCAGATGTCCACCTGCCCCTTTGTTCTGGAATGCTTAGGAAGGTACATTCACTTTTGCAGGGCAGCACAGGCTATTAAGTGTGCTACAACGATAATGGAAAAGAATCTGGCTTTCTAATCTTCTGAGTCATTCTAAGCATTAGGCACAGATATGTGTTGTAGGCATGTTAGAAGTTCTAAAACATTTAAATTGTTTTCTTCTAATATTTTAAACAAATATTTGGAAGTCTAAGAAGATTTATACTTGAAACCTCTTAAAATATCTATGAAAATCTTAGTAAAAGGGCAATCAGAGATAACATATTGTTCCAGGCCTCAGACATTTTAGGTTGTAGTGGTGAAAAGAACACACAGTGACTCAGAGACAAGGGCAAAGGAGGGGAACCCATGATCCTAAAATATATTTTGATAGTTCCTGTCAGTAGTGCCCCTCTTCTCTTCCACACTTCTTTCTCAGGTTACATTAACTTTTGGTGATATTTTTTTGCCCCTTTCTTTAGGGCTGCCCTTGATGCAGGCTTTATCCATATTTTTCTATAAGAAAAACGTCATGGAGCTGTAGGGGAGATGAGGACTATACCATGGATTTATCCTGGGTTTTCAACATACAAAATAAAACATCACTATGGTGGTGTTTCTAGTATCTGTGACATTTTCTATATTAAAAGTTAGTTTTACATGTCATGCACACTAAATAATACCCAAGTGACCTGAAGCAGTGGATGTGCCTCCTTAAGTGCCAAACTTTCTATTAGACAATGATATCAATGCTGGGGAGACTAAAACCCACTAGATTTTATTAATGACTGAGTTTAACTGTAAAATAGTAAATGGATTATGTTTTGAGTCTAGGCTTGGATATTGAAAGTGTTTCCGATTTTATATGAATGCAATTGAATTCAGGCATTGAAATTGGCTTTCACTTTATTTTTGATTTTCTAGTAAAATGACAAGCAAATTAAGTCAAGTTCTTTCTTCATTAAATATAGCAGTAATTTATAACTATATAGATTTATTTCTGGATTATCAAAACATACTTTTCATATGTACATATATATATATAATATTTTTACATTTATTGCAATCAGAGAAAAACCATGAAGTGTTTTTGAAAGTATATGTATCAAGTCACTCACATAAACTATAGAGAAACCAGGAGAGTCGCAAACTCCAATCCCTACTGAGGCAAGGATGGTAACGTAAATGAAAGACTATAAGAAATACAGAGTGGTGGGGACTATGGTGAACCAGGGAGTATATATTCTTTTCCAAAGTGGTGGCTGTTACTCAGTTTGGCTGATTATTACCATGTGGGAATGCAGGCTCAGTATTGTTAAGATCTGACTTTTTAAAAGAAGCTGGGAATTACGATTTTTACATGAAATTCTCCAATTCTTAAATGTTGGTAACTAACTCAATAAAAAGCAAAACAAAACAAAAAAAGCAACACTGCACAGGCAAAACAAAATCCATCTGGGGTCAGGATATAGCCCATGGGCTGTCAGTTTGCGACCTCTGCTCTAAATGGTGAGTCCTCAAGATATTGCAATTGCAAAAAGAATCACAGTTTGTTATAAATGCACCTGAAGCCTTTGATCATGGAAAATTCATATAAGGTGAATAAATAACCAGTGGGAGTGCTTACAAATAATTATTCTGGTACTCAAAATGGTGGTTATGCGCTTTGTGGGTTTTATTTTTTACTACTTCAAAATAGGCAATATAGTTTTTCCTTCAAGTGATTTGAAAATTAAAATTAAATTAGTATTTTTTTGCTTTCCTGTTATCAGTGAAATGCAGTATGAAACAGATTATTACTGCCATGTCCACAAAAGAATACTTAAGTATAGTTCTCATCACATAACATAATTAAGGTTTCTATTTAAAGTCCAATTTATTTTGTTTTAATAAGAAGAAAGCCATGTGTATAACATGTGTTGTTTTATTTTAAATTGGCTTGCCTTTAAACAAATTCCCAATTCCATCTAGCAAAATTCCTTTATTTTTACAAATGGTTAAAATAAGAAATAAAAGAAATGTAAGCAGTTAACACAACAAAACTTCATTTGAACTTTTGATAGGCATTGGCAAAGATAAAACAAAGTTGGTCATCTGAGATTTTATTAAAAGGTAACTGTTTGACTGATCTGAGACTTTGCTTGTTTGTCTGTCCTGCCATGGACCTTAGCACATAATCCCACTGTGCTACAATGCTTTTGACATCTGTATGCCCCTTTCATCACTGGCAATCCAAAAGCATATTTGTCTAAAAAGGAAACAATTAAATTCCAATCTCTCTAGGAAAAAAAAAAGAAAGAAAGAAAAAGAGAAAGAAAACACCCCACTGTTAAACCTGCTTTAATGGTCACAATGATTTGTACCATAAATCCTTATTGAGGATGGTAAATTAACATTTTCACTTCTGATGAGAAAGTCGAGAACTTTAAAAAGAAAAGTAAAAAAAGAAAGAGAAAGAATTGAAGGCATTATCTCAAATCCTAAATAAACTAGAAAAAAATCTCATTCCTTGACAAATCATTCTAGTTGCAGATTTAACACAAACACACGTGAAAGATGAGAAATTATTGGGTAACTGGTCAACACATATGACAATGTGCAAAATAGCTGATGTTTACTTAAATAAAATTTGGGTAGACAGTGCTGCCCTTTCCAGATCATCAGCTAGTTTTGACCACAAGTAATCTGTTACATGATTGGGATGCAATATGTTTAAATATACTAATGAATGAAACTTATTTACTAAAACTCTAATAATTAAGGATCTTTAGTTAAGTGGTTAATCCTCAAAGGTAGAGAATTTAAGAAATGAGTGATTATTTGATGCATTTGACCAGCATAGACATATAAATAAGATAATTCAGGATAAAATATTGATGAACAATTAATCCTCTTTTTTTGCCAAGACATAATAATATTTAACATTTATCAAACGTGAGTTCAGGTGATTTTTCACATATTAGTTCTTTTAATCATCGTAACAACTCTATAAGATAGGTGCTGCAATTATAATCGTTGTCTTACAGTTGGTGATACTGAGTCACACAGATGGTTATATGATTTACCCAAGGTCATACAGCCTATAAATACCAGGGACAGCATTTGAATCAAAGCAGTCTAGTTTCAAAGCTCATATGCTTTGGGCCAATATATTTTATAACCGGCCAAATGGAATCAGACTAATTAGAAAAACACCTCATTTACTATTATATATTAAATGACTTATTGAAAAATGACATTTCTATTCAGAAATCAAGTTTGGTAGCATCATTTTGATAGTGTAATAAATTAGCAAGATTATAAAATAGTTCAGATAAAGCAGGAAGAAAAAAATAAGGAAAGAGCAGGAAATACTGAGAAAAACTTGTGGATCAATATTCAGGTCTACATTTTGCTACACTTAATCCACAGTTTAATTTTAAAAATTGTATCTGAAAAAAATTTGTATCTGTGAAACATTAATATTATGACTAACAATAATCTCCTTTTTACTCCACAAATGAAAGATGACCACTAATCCTAAAATCAGTGTGTATCATTGCTGTGTCTTTTTAAAATTATGTGTGTATTTATACACAAACAACATGCAATGTTGATTTTTGTGTTTTTTTAATTTTTTGTTTTAAGATGTATCAAACTGTTGTGATATCATACTATTCTTTTTAAGTATTTTTACATTATGTTTTTGAGATTTATCCGTATTGATATATGTAAATCTAGTTCACTTATTTTTTAATTGTCCGTTATACTACCTTGTATAACACAATTTGATAATTCTTTCCTATATTCATAGGTTGATAATTAGGTTGTTTCCAATTTTTTGTTGGAAACCGTGCTGTAATGGTCATGTCTTGCACCCATATGGGAGTATTTCTCTAGGATATCAGCCTAGAAGTGCAATTTCTAGGTTGTGGGCTATGTGTGTCTTCAACTTTAATGGTTACTGCCAAATTGTTCTCCAAAGCTGTTCTGATTTACTCTCCTACCAGCAATATACAAGAGGTCCCATTTCCTCACATTATTGCCAGCGTAGTAGATATTTTTAATGAATGATCTGTTTGAAGAAAAAATAATTCTTTTTATTCTCTTACGATTATACACATACATATGAAATATTGATTCCGATCACTTAGCACAGATAAAAATATTTACAGATACTATTTTTGTCATTATTCTTCATCTTAAAACATATGTAATTAAGATAAGGATTAAAGATACTATTTTAAATTTGTAAAGTATCGTCTAAGTTACAAGCACTTTCCCATAAACTTTCATTTGATGAGACAGTATGGTATAACAGCAAGAGCTCTGGGGAAAAAAAGAGTCATAAGTCCATGGACTTAACTCTGCACATAAATCTGTGGCTTTGGACCTCAGTTGCTGCATCTTTTAAGTTACAGTATTAGACTAAACAATCTCTTAGATAAATAGTATATGCTTTGATCTATGATACGTATCTTTCCTTTTCCTTGAAGCTGTAATTCATTTATTGTGCATAAAACATAAGGAGAAAATTGAATTTGGTCAATTTGTGAAAATTGTTGTAACACTCTCTCTGGCTCAGTTAATAAGATCATAACTTTACCATCATTATACTTACATTTCTTCTAATTCAAGGACAGTTAGGGGTGGATGGTGGAAGAGAAGATGTGACACATGATTTCGAATTCATGTTCAGTTTTTCCCATTTCAAAGCATCACATTCTAAATGCTGAAATAAAAAAACAAAGAAAGCTCAACAACTATTTGTTATGACTTTGTGTTTGCTTTCAAGCTCCTTTTATGCACATTTCTGATTCAGAAGAAAATATTCAAGATTTTCAGCTCATTTAATGTTTGATTCCAGCAGTACTTTTATGGTGCTACACGTAACTACTTAAAGCAGAGAGAGGACTCAGGTTGACGACTCTATATTCTTTCTTTCTTTTCTTTTCTTTTTTTTCTAAGGACACGAGCCCATGAAATAGCCTCAGGAGGTCCTGAGACACGTGCCCCCTTTATTTCTTTTTGAATAAGGGGGTAAGTAATTAGATTTTGTGTTTGGAGAGAGACTTTTTATTTGAAAGATCTGGATCTTTATCCTGAGGTTTAACACAGAACTTTCAGCTTTTCTTAGATTCTATGTGTATGGGAAAGACCACTGAGTTAGAAACCAAACTGTCTAATATTACAGGAGATTAAAGTAGAAAAGGGAATCAGTAGAAACTGATTTTGTTTAAACTCTCAGAGTTGCAAATATGCTACATTCATACACACACACACACACACACACACACACACACACACACACACACGTCCTCTTGCCAGCACAGAATATCTGTTATTTTCAATGACTTTTAAAAAGAAAACTTAACCTGTGAGGACATTGAACACTGGTTACGAGTGAAGCTTCTACTTATGGAAGGTGGCAGTTCTGGCAAACAAAATATAAATCAGTTAATCTCTTGTGATGAAGACATTCTTAGAGACCTTTCTTTCTATAAGTAGTCCTGGGAAAATGTTTTGACTATAGCATTCCTAGAAAGTGAATTGACCTCCTACAGAGTTTCAACACCAGGTATTACAAGAAAATTGTGGTTCACACACTTTGTTCAAATTATCTTCAGATTAATACAATTTGCATACATATACCTAATTGTCCAAATGTAACAATAAGCCTAGAGAATCCCACGTAAGTTGCTTTGGGCCTGTTTGTTAACGGACTGTGGGGCCCATATTTAAGATCTTTCATTGCTATTTTTGCTAATTGCCATCCTGTTTTTAGTTTAAGCATACTCTGGAAACCACTATTTTATTGCATTGCTTCCACTAGTTCAGAGAATCAAAATCTCTGCCAAGATAATCTACAGTATTTCTGCCCAGATGCTACCTATCCTATGTGGAGATTCAACTGGGTTAGCTAATTTTTTTCATAAACACGAAATAAATCACTTAAAACACAAGCTATCTCAAAATCTTTAATACAGTTTCAAAGATGTAGGTCAGAACATTTTCAAGACAACACTTCTTGGACATATTTCACCAAGTAACTGACAAGATTATTGGGAAATTAGTACTCTCATTAAAAAATATATTGCAGTTGCTCAGTATTTATTAAAAAACAAGAAAGGAGGAAATATGAACATTGTCATATGGCCTTTATCACCTGCATTATTCAGAAATGCTATATGTATTTGAGGCGTTGATACATCTCTATTCGCAAAACCAATTGCAGTCTTTCCTTGAACTACTCCCTATTGAGTATCCCCACTTTTGTTAGTCTGAACGAAGCCTTGGCAAACGAAACTTGTTATCTTTTATCAGAAAAAGTCAAAACCATGGACACGTTTGTCTTGACCACTGACTTCAAGAATACCCATGTGCTTTGCCAAGGACGGCATCTAGATAATAATACTATAATATTACTATAAAATATTTTCTTTTATTATTGAAAACCCAGTTTGAACCTTGAGCAAGTCATTTACATGCTGTTTCTTTGGGATTACCTACATTCTTGTCCACTCTGACCTTGTAATATTTCTCACAGTTGGAAATGTAATGCAGAGTGACTAAGATAATGTTGTTTACACAGACTCTAAGTGGAGTGACATTATAGTCAAGCAAGTGTCACATCACCCAATGTGAAGGAAGACTTAATTACCATAATCCTGTGAATACTAAAATTTCTTAGCCACGTGTAGCATAATAATGTAATGTTTTGCATGTACATTTAATAATGCAAAGGTGTCTCAGGCTGTGTGTTTCTTTAAAAATGAAAGCAAAGTGGGATTACAGAAAGAAAATAGACTTTTGAAATTGGAGGATACTTATCTGAATGTTCAGGTGAAGTCTGTCGTTTCTTTTAAACTCCAAAGAGTTGCCTAGTGATGTGAAAATGAAGGGACTGCTGAAATATCTATAAATCTATACACCAATGAGTAGGGTGACAGACCATGAATTTCTCTGGAGGGCACAGGGTAGATGTAACTAAATGACTGAGACAGGATAAAGAGGAAAGGCTCATAACCACCTATTATTGTGCAATGGGGAACATATCATTAATTTACAAAAGAGTGGTGACATTTTCTAAAATTGTATAGCCCTATTCTTAAAAGTTTGTCAGTGTAACTAATTAGTTTCTAAAATGGAGTTGATTCTAAGACCCAGTATGAATGCATTTGAAAAGGCAAGGCATTGTCCCTAAATTGGTAGGGTTTGTAATACATCTTGATGAATGCTACAAAAATAATGTTAAGAAATAGGACTATTATGGTTTGTAGTCCTTGAAGGAATTATGTTCCATGGCAACGTGCCCTAAAGACATGTCCTGCTTTCTGTTTTTGATAACACTGAGTTTTCAATACAAAGAATTCAATTGCTCAATGGGTTCTTCTCCCAGTGTATGAGGACTCTAAAGATCTTTTGTTATTTTAGGCTATCATTGGAATTTTTGTTTTTAAACTAATGTTAATGTTCAAAAGAGGGCAAGTATAAAATGAATCAGCAATAAAATGTGAAGTTGTTTTAAAATAAATCCATTAGAAAGGTGAGATGTAAAAAATGTGTAGCTCAATCAATAGATTTATGTAAGTGATATTCATAATTTATGATTCAAAATACTGTATCATCTGAGACAGTGTTCCAGATGTTTTTAAAAATGTGCAAAAGCTGTTAAAACATATAAAACATCGAAGCCTGTTAATAACAGCAGCCACGCTTTACAATTAGGAGAGTTTAAAAAGATTGTGAACTGATTTATCATTATAAAATACTCTTCCAATAGAGAATACTTTTTCTGAAATATATAAACAACATTTTCTTTGGTTTTCATTTGAACATTTTTATTTCAATTTGGACATTTTCCTTTTAGCTGGCTAGTCCTAGCCAAACAGTATGTTAGTGTAACATAGTTTGTCAACAGATCTGTATTGTTTTGTTGCTTTAAAATGAAACTAGTCTAAATTACAAAAATGGTGACGTTATATGCTTTATGCTGCAAGTTTTACAAATACCCACTAAATCACATATTAATGTTTCTAACATATTAGGTATAAAGAAGGTAGTAGTTTTTATTTTTTATCATCAAATATACTTGGCATTATAGCACCCACTGTATTCAGAACATTAAGTGAAGGGATTTGGAACATCTGATTGACACATCCCATTTAAAAATGGTGTATACATAGAGGCAGCCCTCCGTATCCATGGTTCTGCATCCTTGGACTGAAAATATTTGAAAAGAAAAACAATATAAATAGCAAGACAGCAATACAAACAAATACAAATAAAGATTCAGTATACAACAATTTACATAGCATCTACATTGTATTAGGTATTATAAGTAATTTAGAGATGAATTAGAGCATATAGAAGGATGGGCACAGGTTAAATGCAAATACTATGTCATTTTACATAAGGGACTTGAGCATCCATAGATTTTTGTATCTTTGGGGGTCCTGGAACCAATCCCCCTGGGATATCGAGTGATGACTATATTTTACTTTTTAGTAGCATTAAAATCACATTGTGCTTTCCATAGTTTATGAATGTCCAGCTCTCTGTCTTCAAAAATCACTCTGAATTTTGGAACTAAATTAGATACAATTAATGTAGGGTAAAACACTTTTTAATAACCTTGGGTTCAGCACAGAAGTGGTTAAAGGAAGTGTGTGTGTTTTTAAATACGCTTTTATTTTTAGGACAGTTTTAAAAATAAAATACAGAAAGAAAGCAAATACTGCACTGAGAGTTCCCATTCACCCCGTAGCCAGTTTCCTCTGTTGTTAACATCTTACAATTACAGAATCAGTTTGTCCTAACTAATGAACCAGTATTGACACACTGTTAACTAAGTTTATACTTTACTCATATTTCTTCAGCTTTTCTCTAATGTTCTTTTCTGTTCCAAAATGTAGGACATCACACTTTATTTAATCCGCGGGTCTCTTAAAGCTCCTCTCAGCTGTAACGGTTTCTCTCCTTGTTTTCAATGACCTTGATAGTTTTGAGGAGTAGTGGTCAGGTATTTGTAGGATGTCCCTCAACTGGGGTTCACCTGATGCTTTTTTCATGATTAAATTGGGGTTATGTGTTTTTGGGGGAAAGACCCCAGAGGCAAAATGCCATTTTCATCATATCATGTAAAGGGTATATACTATTGTTTTTTATTACTGTTGAGATTGACCTTGATCACGGGGCTCAGGAAGTATCTGTCAGGTTTTTCTATTGTAAAGTTTACTCTCTTTCTTTTTTTTTCTTTCTTTCTATATTATACTCTTTAGCAGTCTTTGGAAAGCACTCACTGTGCAAAATTATTTGGAATTCTTCTAAATGAGAGATTTGCCTTTTCTGTCCCATTTATGTATTTATTCAATTACTTATTTATATCAGCATAGACTTCTAGGTGTTTATTTTATACTTTGGGTTATAATCCAGTACTACAATATTTATTTTATTGCTTAAATTGTTTCAGCTTTGGCCATTGGGAACTCTTTCAGTAGGCTCCTGCGTACCTTTGACATGCCCCCAACATTGTGGATTTTTTCATACACTTCCTTACTTTCTTGCACTGGATGTTCCAGACTCATCTTGTATATTTCCTGCTCCAGTCCTGGAGTCAGAAACCATTTCTTCAAGTTGTGGTTAGGAGAATTTTTGATCTGCTCAATCCTAAGAAAGTGCTAAAGGTGGCCAAAAAAGAGGGCCAGAGAGTCTCTCTTGGTTTCATTTTCTTGTTTGTCTCCTAAATTTTCCATCATCCTAGTAATGCACATAAGTCTTATTCTCTCACCATATGAATTTGCCCATTACTCTTATAACATCCAGCAGCAAGAAAAGAATGAAAAGCCTCATAGTCTTCTACAGTCACACACCTTAATTTTCATGCATAGGTTTAGAAATATGCTATGTAACTCCAAGATACATGTCCTACCTGAAACCTATCCCCTTATCCAGCATCCCAATACACTACTTAATCTTCAGTTTGTGAGTCACTCTGGGATCATTTTATTTTTCTCAGAGAGGGTTTGGGGTCAAATAAATTTGGGAAATATGGGATTAAATAAAGGTAAACAAACTTGGTTACTGCAGGTCTTCTTGGAGCCTATAATTTGTTAATTTGCTTTGTGATTCTATAGGAAAATATATTATATAGAAGATTTTCCAGTCTTTTTTGATTAAAGTAGCTTTTTGTTCTGGAAACTAGTATTCCATAAAATGCACTTTAGGAAATGCCATACGAGTGGTAAAAGGCTGGAATTTGTCTTTGGAAATCTTGTGTTCAGTCCCTCACTGGACCATCTACTAGCTCTATGATCACAAGCAAATCACTTAACATCTAGAAGTCTCTATTTTTTTAATCCATAAAATGAACCTAGGAATTTCTCTTCCAGGGTTGTTATGAAAAGCAAAAATGAGTAAAACCAAAACTTATAAGAATTCTTTGAAAATGCATAATTCAATGCAAATTTCCTAAGCACTGTAAAGGTCGGGACCATCCCTTTGTTTTGCTAACCATTGTCTCTTTAGTATCTAGCATATTTTCCTGGCATTTAGGTTTCAATATTCAATAAATATTTACTGAGCCATTGAATTATATTACTAACACTTACATTATTTTCTATTTCTCACCAAGTATCGTATAGCAGCTTATGACATTTTATAAATTACTTTTTGATATTAGAAGTCCATGTAACAAAATGCAGGCAGAAACATACAGTTGAAATGGCTATATATGCAAAAAAAGCCCCCAAACTTTTGATTCTAGCCTTTGTTTTGCTGAGCATGTGCTCCCAGCCAATGGCTGGCTGCATTCTGATTAGTTTTCATTGCTTCAAGCTGACCAGATTTTCCTTTGAAATAAGGGCACTGAAGCTTTCACCTTAATTCTGTGGTGATGTAAAATTCCTGCTGCAGTCACTGAGCTGGTGCTAGAAGAAGAGGAGCACCTGTGAGCACAGGCTGTCAGGAGGCCCTTGGAGCCCTAGAGTGTTGAGGCTACAGCTGCTGGGTTGAGAAGCAGTTGGAAGCGCTTTGTCACTCCTTCTTGTGCAACCACAGGAGATCCACTAAAGGATTTTTACTTTCTTTGGATGTACAATTTGTGCTATCAGGAGTTATGGAAAGGATCTCTTTTATAAAATTGAAGACAGAGTGAAGCTTTGATGGGGGTGGCAAGTTAGGCCCTGTTAAGCAATATATTTTGGTGAGAATAGTTTGGAGATAGTAATAGGGCCCTCATGTCTCCCATTTTGCCCAGTTCCCCACAAACCAATGTATTCTGTACGTATTCCCAGAGGTAAACTTTTCAGTTTCTAGCTTCTCTTTACAGAGAATCAACTGGAGCATGTTTATTGTATTTGAATGTGAGAAGTTGTCAGCCTCCCTGGAAATGCTACGTTAATATTTGAAGTCCAGGAAGAACCATGTAGCTTTGGAAACTGCAAAAATATTTCAATCAAATTCTAGGCTTTGGGATTAGTGAGACAATGGTCAAGATCAGTTTAGGGGGTCTTTCCTTTCTTAATATTTAAATCAGAATTATATATACTAGCATACCTTTGTCCATTATGTAATTCATGAATGCTAGAAAACAGAAATGTTTTAGTTAAAAAAACTCTGTATGGGATAATGGTGGCCTAACATTTTCCACAGGTGTTGGTCGGAGTCAGAAATTCTCTAATGATAGTTAATTTTATGGCATTGCTGTTATTCACACTCTGAAATAGCAATTTTCTCCCCATCTGTATCTCTCTTGCTCAAAAAATACAGACTTTAAGGCTTATATAAAATATGTGTTTCGGTGAGAAAGGGAGGGCTTAATATTAGACTATACAGTACTATGACTTTACTGCCTTATGGATTTATTATTATTCCCTGACCCCACACCTGAAACTACTGCTTTCTTTCAAAAGCTAGACTACTCATTCGTAGTATCAACTGGTACTTTCATTTAAATTATTCACTACAGTTTTCCACCAAATATCTTAGTTCTTTATTTGATTGAAATGAATAGATGGACACTCTTGCAAGTATGTTCTTGACAATTTTGCAACTTTATTAGGTAAAATATAACCATCTTCTTTTAAATGATCAGTTATGGGAAGGAGTTTTAAGGGAATATTTCAAACTTAATCCATAAATTACATTTAGGAATCTTTCCTTGCACTTTACAAATTTATTGAGTTTACTGAACTTGTAGCAGCACAGCTAAATTCCAGCAACTGCAAAAATAATTAGTGACATTAAGTTGAAAATGTTGTAAACAAGTGAAGTTATTATTCATTCTGTACCACACTACAAATGTGGGAGGACAAGTTAAATGATAAATTAGGCATGAACTGCTTTAATCTGTAAACTGAACATGTTAGCAAATGGCTTGCGTTTGTAATTAGTATTTATGGCCACAGGAGAGTGCCTCTTTAAAAACAGTGACAGAAAATTGATCAGTTTAGGTCGTCATAGCAACCAAAAAGTCCCATTGCTTCTGTTAGGTTTAGGTTATTATGCTATATACTCATGCTTAGAAATATATTTATGAACTGTAAAGATAAACGATAAACTACTTAATAATGTAAAAGAGGTTGGGATGCCGAAATGCCAAACTGACAAAGTCCAAATGAATACCGAATTACTCGATAACGAGCTTAAGTGTTCTGCGGTTGTCATGACATTTCTTTTACAAAGCAAATGATGCTGGAAAAAAAATCTTAAAACTAGACTAAAATGCAAATCCTTTTATGACAGTATGTGGTTGTCACGTTCATAATAACAGACAATAATTGATGATTTATAAGATGACACCATGGCAACAGAGTCTTTCATCATTGGCACCCCTTGGTTACTTTTATATTAGACGCTTGAGGATGCCTGTGAAAAGTTTCCAAGATGACATACAAGAAGATCTACTCTTATTAGCTCTCGTTTAAAACAGGGTGGAAGCATTGTCGAGATTTTGGAATCACCTGACAAAATAAAAGCTGGCAATGTCTCTGGTTAAAAAAAAACATCTCTGCTAAACTAATTTATTCCCATGTAAGCACATTCAGTAGCTAAAATTGGACAGATTTGTTTTGGTCACTTAACCTTTCAAAGAAAGTCTGTAATGCCTCTCAAATTTGAGTGTAAGCTGTTAGGTTGTTTAAAATTATGGTGAATGATAATATCCTTATACAGGAGGCGGGAGAAGGGGAGAGGGAGTGCAGGAAACCTTGACCTTGCTTTTAACTCCTAAAAAGATGATTTTAAAAACAGAATTTTAGTGTTGAGGACTTTATGAAAGTGGAATAAATTTGTAATTAGATATTCTAATTTATCCCATTTAATGTATTTGGTAGGCTGAGGAGTAAAATGTTGGAATTTCTTAGAAGCAATAATCTAATCAGTTTTTCAATTATAGATTATTATTATTTTTTCTTTTTTGAGAGAGTCTTACTCTGTCACCCAGGCTGGAGTACAGTGATGCGATCTCAGCTCACTGCAACCTCCGCCTCTCAGGTTCAAGCGATTCTGCTGCCTCAGCCTCCGGGGTAGTCGAGATTACAGGCATGCACCACCACACCTGGCTAATTTTTGTATTTTTAGTTAAGACGGGGTTTCACCATATTGACCAGGCTGGTCTTGAACTTCTGACCTCAAGTAATCTGCCCACCTCGGCTTCCCAAAGTGCTGGGATTACGGATGTGAGCCACCATGCCCGATTATAGGGTATTTAAAATATAGGAAATATAGTAAACCTCCTCTCTTGGTTTTATTGTCAGTTTATGAAAAAATAAAATTCTTTAATATTTGGAGCTTTTGAAAGGTTTCTTGGCCCGGTGCAGTGGCTCATGCCTGTAATCCCAGCACTTTGGGAGGCTAAGGCGGGTGGATCACCTGAGGTCAGGAGTTGGAGACCAGCCTGGCCAACATGGTGAAACTCCGTCTCTACTAAAAATACAAAAAGTTAGCCAGGTGTGGTGGTACATGCCTGTAATCCCAGCTACTAGGAGACGGAGGCATGAGAATCACTTAAACCCAGCAGGCAGAGGTTGCAGTGAGCTGAGATCATGCCAGTGCACCACTCGGGCTGGGTGACAGAGTGAGGCTCTGTCTTAAAAAAAAAAAAAAAAAAAAAAAAAAAAAAAAAAAAAAAAGACTGGTTTCTCGATTATTCAGTCACTTATTTGATTGAACCAAAAGTCTAGACAATACGTTTTGAGGTTCTTTCCAGTGGAATTGTACTATAATTTATAAGGGGTTGTAGAAACACCAACTATTTGAAATATTGAATATAAAATACTGAAACTACCACATTTAAATGACATAAGTGGAATATAACCATGTACATCAAAGTTAACCTCGTCTTTCTACATGAGGTTTTAAAAAATACGGCTTTGAGGATTTTTCTAAACACTTATTTCTTACATAATTTAAGCTTTTGTAAGGATAAAAATCCATAGTACTCATTTCCTTACGAACATCACATAACCAATTACATAAAGTAGGATCTCTGGTCATACTTTTTATTGATACATTCCCTACAAAGTGGTGTAAGGGATATAAAATCCTTAATTTAGGAGCCCCAACTATTCTTTGATGCAAAGAATCAGCAAAATTTGTTCCTAGTTAACAGTTAAGAAAATGGGGTTTACCATTAAATGTAAGAATGATTTACCTTTACTTATATAAGAAAATAAGTTGTTTAATTCTGAATCTTATTCTAGATCGTGGGTAAATCACACAATGGAACATGATTTTTTTTGCACTAGACACTAATAATTTATTTTTCATTTTTTAAATAGTTTGCAATTTTTTTTTATTATACATTAAGTTCTGAGATACATGTGCAGAACGGGGGCAGGTTTGTTACATAAGTATGCATATTTTTCATTTTCTTTATTAAAGAAAACATGTTTTCTCCAACATTTTGCTATAATGGATGTTTCAATGATTAATTTTATATTTGTTTTCCTATCTACTTCCATTATGGAGTTCTATTAGAATAATTGCTTAGTTGAAGGGTATAAACATCCATTTTGATACATAATGCTTGATTCTGAATTTGATTAAAATGATACCTGTTCTTGGCAAACATTTTACTCTGTGATGTATAAAATGTATAACATGTAGAACATATTGTTTCTGTTTTCTAGGAGTTTATAATTTAGTCCACAAAGATACCAACTATGAGCCTGAATAAACCATAAAATAATCCCAAAGTACTAAATAAAGAAAGGGTGATATTGTATGATATATAGACTACAGACATAAGAATTAAAATTACTCAATTACTCGTGGTAAGAGAAAAAGTTAGGCTGAAATGGTTTTGTGGAGGATAATAAGTCAGGACATAAGATTATCCAAATTTAGAACTTAAGTCAATTTGGGAGATTTGAATCATCAGAAAACTGTTACTCTAGATTTTAAGAGCCCACATGACCAAAGGCAAAGAGCTAGAAATAATTATGGCATATGATGGGAATACTAAAGAACACTTTCCCACTTACACTGAAATGGTATGACTGCAGAACAAGAAAAATAACACTTAGATATTGCTTACTCACCTGATTTGCTTCTCTGTCTCCATTCTTGACTAATCTTGAGAATTAGTCCTTCCTTAACAGTGCTACACACGCTGCCCCTCTTGCTCTTAGAATAAAGTTAAAATATCTTAACATAGCTTACAAGGTCCTATGCCAGTGGTTCTCAACCAGAGGTGATTTTTGCTCCTATGGGACATTTGGCAATGTTTGGAGGCCTTTTTGGCTGTCGCAATGGGTGGTGGTGGTGCTATGGCATCTAGTGGGTAGCAGTCAGGAATGCTAATAAATATCCTATAATGCACAGTACAGTTCCCATAAAGTGGAGAATTATCCAGCCTAAGATGTCAATAGTGCTGAGGTTGAGAAAAATAAGAAATGCTACCCTGTAGCATTTTATCTAACCCCTGCCCACCTTGTTAATCTTTTAAATCTTAAGCTACTTTCTCCCTACTCATTATCAATTCAATTACCTTGGTGTCCTTGAACATTCCATTTTCTCTCTCACATTCAGAATTTCACATATGCTGTCTCTCTACCTGAAACACACTTCTGTTCCCCTTCTCCCCATACCTCAGCCCTTCATCTTGCTAAATCTACTCATCATTCTATATATGCCTATCAACTAGATTCTTTGATTACGTGAGTCATGCTTTATCCATCATTGTATTCCCATTGCTCAGCATGTTGTTTGAGACATAATAAATGCATGTTAACGCAATACATAGATTACTGGAGAGTTTCAATGCTAAGATAAACAAAGGTGGTTAAGGGTTTGGGTGATTATGTAAAATGGCTGTGGTAATAAAGAGAATAAAGTAACTTTGAGAGAAACTGCAAAGGCAGAACTCCCATGGCTTGGTCACTGATTCGATGTGGATTGTGACAGAAGAGTTAAAGATGATTTCTACATACCAGGTAAACTGAGGGAATGGGTATAGAAATTGTAGAATTGGGAAGGAATCTTTATTTTGAGGTATCAGATAATGGGAATCTATTTTTATTTACTTGGTGATGCCTATAAGCAGCTAGAAATAGAGTTTAATTTGGGTGAACTTGATATTTCTGTAACTGTGGGAAAGCAATTTAACTTCAGTCTCTTCATTTGTAAAATGGAGAAAGAATGAGTACCTACCTGACTGGGTGGGATTAAGTGAGTTAACACATATAAAACACTTATCTTTATCCCAGTGTTGGACATAGAATTAACACTTAATAAATGGTAGCTATTTTATTATTATTATTATTATTATTATTATTTTCATCATTATAAATGTCTTTTTTTTCCTTTGTCTCTGCATTTTGAAATTATACCTTTCAGTACAGCTACCGCTCTCCCATGAAACTTTTTATGATGTTTCAGGGTATCAATGATCACCTTCCTCCCCTGTAACTGTATAGCATTCTACATTAACTACTTTTTTTTGTACTTGTCATGTACTGCCTAGTCCCATGATTGCATACGTGTTTACGTTATGATCCCTGTTATATTGTAAGTTCTATTAGGGTAAGACTCTGGCTTACTCATCTTTTCCTGACATACAGTAAGTGCTAAATAAATATTAGTTTATGATAATTAATTATAATTTTATTATTGTCATTGGAAAGTCATCAACAGAGGTATTATAGTTGACTCAGAATTAATATGCCTTCCAATTTATATTCAGTATTAATGCTCCTAGTATTTTCAAAGAATATCAATTGTTTTATGAAATAGAACAAAATATCATTTTAAATTAAGTGCTAAGTAATCTGAAAAATTTAAAATGTATTTAATTGATGCTAGTCAAGTTTCATTATTATAGAAAAGCCTACCTGATAAAAGAGTATTTCTTTTGAAAAATTTGATATTTTCAAGTTGCTAACTAATAGTGAAAGATCTTTTGCTTATAAGCTATGAAAGAATATTTTTGTTTGTAATGCCAAACCTTTGAAGAAACTGGGATATTAAACAATCTTATGAAAATGGTAAAGATTTTTAAAAATGAAATAAGCAATATCATGCATTTGTAAGACTGTATATCCTTTCTGAATTCCTTTAAGATATAATATATAAAACATCATGTCGGTAAAGTGTTCAGAACCAAGTTTAGGAAATATAGCCCAGGGTGTCTGAAGAGTTTTGTAGTCACAATAAATAACACAAGAACTTTGATATGAGACATTCTTACTTGTCTTTTGCACACAATTTACTTTGATTCATCAACTCAATAAAGTGCTCTGTGCGTAGGAAAGTGTTTTATATTTGCAATTTATTTATTTACATGGCCGTCATCCCTACTCGGGCCAATCTTCTATTGCTATCGATGTGTTTGGAACTGCCATTGGAAACAACTGAGACTCTAAGTGCACATCTTAGGGAAACATTTTGTCTTTGGTTGAGATATGTAAAAAGGGCAGTATCATAAACGAATCTTAACTGAAAGGTTACATGAACATCCTCTCTGATTTATAATGATGATCTCTAACATATAGCCCCATTTGGATGAAATAATTTTCTAATGTATTACAGTATTTTCTTCTAAGCAATTTCACTCTCTCATAAAAGTAGATCCTTTCCAAGTGTTCAGTAGCTTTAGTAAAATTGTACATAATTAATGAAGTTATTTTAGTCATTTGGGATAAATTATGTGATACAACAAACTATTTGTTATATATATTATATTTCTTTTTTATTTTTATTTTATTATTATTATACTTTAAGTTTCAGGGTACATGTGCACAACGTGCAGGTTTGTTACATATGCATACATGTGCGATGTTGGTGTGCTGCACCCATTAACTCATCATTTAGCATTAGATATATCTCCTAATGCTATCCTTCCTTCCTCCCCCCACCCCACAACAGTCCCCAGTGTGTGATGTTCCCCTTCCTGTGTCCAAGTGTTCTCATTGTTCAATTCCCACCTATGAGTGAGAACATGCGGTGTTTGGTTTTTTGTCCTTGCGATAGTTTGCTGAGAATGATGGTTTCCAGCTTCATCCATGTCCCTACAAAGGACATGAACTTATCACTTTTTATGGCTGCATAGTATTCCATGGTGTATATGTGCCACATTTTGTTAACCCAGTCTATCATTGTTGGACATTTGGGTTGGTTCCAAGTCTTTGCTATTGTGAATAGTGTGGCAATAAACATACGTGTGCATGTGTCTTTATAGCAGCATGATTTATAATCCTTTGGGTATATACCCAGTAATGGGATGGCTGGGTCAAATGGTATTTCTAGTTCTAGATCCCTGAGGAATCACCACACCGACTTCCACAATGGTTGAACTAGTTTACAGTCCCACCAACAGTGTAAAAGTGTTCCTATTCGTCCACATCCTCTCCAGCACCTGTTGTTTCCTGACTTTTTAATGATTGCCATTCTAACTGGTGTGAGATGGTATCTCATTGTGGTTTTGATTTGCATTTCTCCGATGGCCAGTGATGATGAGGATTTTTTCATGTGTTTTTTGGCTGCATAAATGTCTTCTTTTGAGAAGTGTCTGTTCATGTCCTTCGCCCGCTTTTTGATGGGGTTGTTTGTTTTTTTCTTGTAAATTTGTTTGAGTTCATTGTAGATTCTGGATATTAGCCCTTTGTCAGATGAGTAGGTTGTGAAAATTTTCTCCCATTTTGTAGGTTGCCTGTTCACTCTGATGGTAGTTTCTTTTGCTGTGCAGAAGCTCTTTAGTTTAATTAGATCCCATTTGTCAATTTTGGCTTTTGTTGCCATTGCTTTTGGTGTTTTAGACATGAAGTCCTTGCCCATGCCTATGTCCTGAATGGTAATGCCTAGGTTTTCTTCTAGGGTTTTTATGGTTTTAGGTCTAACATTTAAGTCTTTAATCCATCTTGAATTAATTTTTGTATAAGGTGTAAGGAAGGGATCCAGTTTCAGCTTTCTACATATGGCTAGCCAGTTTTCCCAGCACCATTTATTAAATAGGGGATCCTTTCCCCGTTGCTTGTTTTTCTCAGGTTTGTCAAAGATCAGATAGTTGCAGATATGTGGCATTATTTCTGAGGGCTCTGTTCTGTTCCATTGGTCTATATCTCTGTTTTGGTACCAGTACCATACTGTTTTGGTTACTGTAGCCTTGTAGTATAGTTTGAAGTCAGGTAGTGTGATGCCTCCAGCTTTGTTCTTTTGGCTTAGGATTGACTTGGCAATGCGGGCTCTTTTTTGGTTCCATATGAACTTTAAAGTAGTTTATTTCCAATTCTGTGAAGAAAGTCATTGGTAGCTTGATGGGGATGGCATTGAATCTGTAAATGACCTTGGGCAGTATGGCCATTTTCACGATATTGATTCTTCCTACCCGTGAGCATGGAATGGTCTTCCATTTGTTTGTATCCTCTTTTATTTCCTTGAGCAGTGGTTTGTAGTTCTCCTTGAAGAGGTCCTTCACATCCCTTGTAAGTTGGATTCCTAGGTATTTTATTCTCTTTGAAGCAATTGTGAATGGGAGTTCACTCATGATTTGGCTCTCTGTTTGTCTGTTTTTGGTGTATAAAAATGCTAGTGATTTTTGCACATTGATTTTGCATCCTGAGACTTTGCTGAAGTTGCTTATCAGCTTAAGGAGATTTTGGGCTGAGACGATGGGGTTTTCTAGATATACAATCACGTCATCTGCAAACAGGGACAATTTGACTTCCTCTTTTCCTAATTGAATGCCCTTTATTTTCTTCTCTTGCCTAATTGCCCTGGCCAGAACTTCCAACACTATGGTGAATAGGAGTGGTGAGAGAGGGCATCCCTGTCTTGTGCCAGTTTTCAAAGGGAATGCTTCCAGTTTTTGTCCATTCAGTATGATATTGGCTGTGGGTTTGTCATAGATAGGTCTTATTATTTTGAGATACGTCCCATCAATACCTAATTTACTGAGAGTGTTTAGCATGAAGGGTTGTTGAATTTTGTCAAAGGCCTTTTCTGCATCTATTGAGGTAATCATGTGGTTTTTGTCTTTGGTTCTGTTTATATGCTGGATTACATTTATTGATTTTCCTATGTTGAACCAGCCTTGCATCCCAGGGATGAAGCCCACTTGATCATGGTGAATAAGCTTTTTGATGTGTTGCTGGATTCGGTTTGCCATATTATATTGAGGATTTTTGCATCAATGTTCATCAAGGATATTGGTCTAAAATTCTCTTTTTTGGTTGTGTCTCTGCCAGGCTTTGGTATCAGGGTGATGCTGTCCTCATAAAATGAGTTAGGGAGGATTCCCTCTTTTTCTATTGATTGGAATAGTTTCAGAAGGAATGGTACCAGCTCCTCCTTTTACCTCTGGTAGAATTCGGCTGTGAATCCATCTGGTCCTGGACTTTTTGGTTGGTAAGCTATTAATTATTGCCTCAAATTCAGAGCCTGTTATTGGTCTATTCAGAGATTCAACTTCTTCCTGGTTTAGTCTTCGGATGGTGTATGTGTCGAGGAATTTATCCATTTCTCCTAGATTTTCTAGTTTATTTGTGTAGAGATGTTTATAGTATTCTCTGATGGTAGTTTGTATTTCTGTGGGATCGGTGGTGATATCCCCTTTGTCATTTTTTATTGCATCTATTTGATTCTTCTCTCTTTTCTTCTTTATTAGTCTTGCTAGGGGTCTATCAATTTTGTTGATCTTTTCAAAAAACCAGCTCCTGGATTCATTGATTTTTTGAAGGGTTTTTTTGTGTCTCTATTTCCTTCAGTTCTGCTCTGATCTTAGTTATTTCTTGCCTTCTGCTAGCTTTTGAATGTGTTTGCTCTTGCTTCTCTAGTTCTTTTAATTGTGATGTTAGGGTGTCAATTTTAGATCTTTCCTGCTTTCTCCTGTGGGCATTTAATGCTATAAATTTCCCTCTACACACTGCTTTGAATGTGTCCCAGAGATTCTGGTATGTTGTGTCTTTGTTCTCGTTAGTTTCAAAGAATATCTTTATTTCTGCCTTCATTTCGTTATGTACCCAGTGGTTATTCAGGGGCAGGTTGTTCAGTTTCCATGTAGTTGTGTAGTTTTGAGTGAGTTTCTTAATCCTGAGTTCTAGTTTGATTGCACAGTCATCTGAGAGACAGTTTGTTACAATTTCTGTTCTTTTACATTTGCTGAGGAGTGCTTTACTTCCAACTATGTGGTCAATTTTGGAATAGGTGTGGTGCTGAAAAGAATGTATATTCTGTTGATTTGGGGTGGAGATTTCTGTGGATGTCTATTAGGTCCACTTGGTGCAGAGCTGAGTTCAATTCCTGGATATCCTTGTTAACTTTCTGTCTCATTGATCTGTCTAATGTTGACAGTGGGGTGTTAAAGTCTCCCATTATTATTGTGTGGGAGTCTAAGTCTCTTTGTAGGTCACTAAGGACTTGCTTTATGAATCTCGGTCCTCCTGTATTGGGTGCATATATATTTAGGATAGTTCTTCATGTTGAATTAATCCCTGTACCATTATGTAATGCCCTTCTTTGTCTCTTTTGATCTTTGTTGGTTTAAAGTCTGTTTTATCAGAGACTAGGATTGCAACCCCTGCCTTTTTTTGTTTTCCATTTGCTTGGTAGATCTTCCTCCATCCCTTTATTTTGAGCCTATGTATGTCTCTGCACATGAGATGAGTTTCCTGAATACAGCACACTGATGGGTCTTGACTCTTTATCCAGTTTGCCAGTCTGTGTCTTTTAATTGGAGCATTTAGCCCATTTACATTTAAGGTTAGTACTGTTATGTGTGAATTTGATCCTTTCATTATGATGTTAACTGGTTATTTTGCTCGTTAGTTGATGCAGTTTCTTCCTAGCCTTGATGGTCTTTACAATTTGGCATGTTTTTGCAGTGGCCGGTACCAGTTGTTCCTTTCCATGTTTAGTGCTTCCTTCAGGAGCTCTTTTAGGGCAGGTCTGGTGTGACAGAATCTCTCAGCATTTGCTTGTCTGTAAAGGATTTTATTTCTCTTTCACTTATGAAGCTTCGTTTGGCTGGATATGAAATTCTGGGTTGAAAATTCTTTTCTTTAAGAATGTTGAATATTGGCCCCCACTCTCTTCTGGCTTGTAGAGTTTCTGCTGAGAGATCAGCTGTTAGTCTGATGGGCTTTCCTTTGTGGGTAACCAGACCTTTCTCTCTGGCTGCCCTTAACATTTTTTCCTTCATTTCAACTTTGGTGAATCTGACAATTATGTGTCTTGGACTTGCTGTTCTTCTGGAGTATGTTTGTGGCGTTCTCTGTGTTTCCTGAATTTGAGTGTTGGCCTGCCTTGCTAGATTGGGGAAGTTCTCCTGGATAATATCCTGCAGAGTGTTTTCCAACTTGGTTCCATTCTCCCTGTCACTTTCAGGTACACCAATCAGATGTAGATTTGGTCTTTTCACATAGTCCCATATTTCTTGGAGGCTTTGTTCATTTCTTTTTATTCTTTTTTCTCTAAACTTCCCTTCATGCTTCATTTCATTCATTTCATCTTCCATCACTGATACCCTTTCTTCCAGTTGATCGCATCGGCTACTGAGGCTTGTGCATTCATCACGTAATTCTCATGCCGTGGTTTTCAGCTCTATCAGGTCCTTTAAGGACTTCTCTACATTGGTTATTCTAGTTATCCATTCGTCTAGTTTTTTTTTCAAAGTTTTTAACTTTTTTGCGATTGGTTCAAACTTCCTCCTTTAGCTCGGAGTAGTTTGATCTTCTGAAGCCTTCTCTCAACTTGTCAAAGTCATTCTCTGTCCAGCTTTATTCCATTGCTAGTGAGGAGCTGCGTTCCTTTGGAGGAGGAGAGGCGCTCTGAGTTTTATCATTTCCAGTTTTTCTGCTCTGTTTTTTCCCCATCTTTGTGGTTTTATCTACCTTTGGTCTTTGATGATGGTGACGTACAGATGGGTTTTTGGTGTGGATGTCCTTTCTCTTTGTTAGTTTTTCTTCTAACAGTCAGGACCCTCAGCTGCAGGTCTGTTGGAGTTTGCTGGAGGTCCACTCCAGACCCTGTTTGCCTGGGTATCAGCAGCAGTTTCTGCAGAACAGCGGATATTGGTGAACCGCAAATGCTGCTGCCTGATCGTTCCTCTGGATGTTTTGTCTCAGAGGAGTACCTTGCCGTGTGAGGTGTCAGTCTGCCCCTACTGGGGGGTGCCTCCTAGTTAGGCTACTCGGGGGTCAGGGACCCACTTGAGGAGGCAATCTGCCCTTTCTGAGATCTCAAGCTGTGTGCTGGCAGAAGCACTACTCTCTTCAAAGCTGTCAGACAGGGACATTTAAGTATGCAGAGATTATTACTGTCTTTTGTTTGTCGGTGCCCTGCACCCAGAGGTGGAGCCTACAGAGGCAGGCAGGCCTCCTTGAGCTGTGGTGGACTCCACACAGTTTGAGCTTCCTGGCCACTTTGTTTACCTACTCAAGCCTGGGCAATGGCAGGCGCTCCTCCCCCAGCCTCGCTACTGCCTTGCAGTTTGATCTCAGACTGCTGTGCTAGCAATGATTGAGGCTCCGTGGGTGTAGGACCCTCCAAGCCAGGTGCAGGATATAATCTCCTGGTGTGCCATTTGTTAAGCCCGTTGGAAAAGCACAGTATTAGGGTGGGAGTGACCCGATTTTCCAGGTGCCATCTGTCACCCCTTTCTTTGACTAGGAAAGGGAATTCCACGACCCCTTGCACTTCCCGGGTGAGGTGATGCCTTGCCCTGCTTCGGCTTATGCACGGTGCACTGCACCCACTGTCCTGCACCCACTGTCCGGCACTCCCCAGTGAGATGAACCCGGTACCTCAGTTGGAAATGCAGAAATCACCCGTCTTCTGTGTCGCTCACGCTGGGAGCTGTAGACTGGAGCTGTTCCTATTTGGCCATCTTGGCTCCACCTATATATTATATTTCAAATGAAATTAATGGTTGCTTTAAAAACTGAAAGAATGGAGTTTCTTGGCTTTTGCATAAATAGGCAAAAGTGGCATGAGAATATTTATTACATTATTCATGAACATGTATCAACAAGCAGTTACATTTAACTGGCTAACAGGTAAGTGAAAGGTAGTTAAACAAGTGAGACAGTGACAAAAAAAAAAAGAAAAAAAAAAAACTTCAGATTAATGCCCCGATGAACATAGATGAAAGAAATCCTCAACAAAATACTAGTAAATTGAATTTGGCAGCACATCAAAAAGTTAATTTACCACAATAAGGTAGGCTTTATTCCCAGGATGCAATGTTGGTTCAACATATACACATCAAGAAATGTGATTCACCACAGAAACAGAATTAAACACAAAAACT